>NT_187513.1:0-186739 GCF_000001405.40 Homo sapiens
GAATTCTCCAGAGACATGGAGGCATGTTATCTAAGTGCAATGGAGAACATGCATTGTATCATGAACCAGAGATGGACAACAGTAGGATATGTACAATAACACCCCAACATTTGGACATTAAACAAAATACTTCAGAAAAACCCATTGTCCAAGAAAAGTTTCACACACAAAAAAATAGTTTAAACTGAAAGAAAATTTTTTAAAAACTTAATAAAATGTGGGATGCAGATAAATCGTTTCTTAAAGGTACATTTATAGATGTAATATATTGAAAATAAAAGGCTTCAATCAATGACCTTTAGGTTCTTTTTTAAGAGGCTAAAAAATGAGCAAAGTATATCCAAATTAAGAAGAAGGAAGATGATAAAGATAAAAATGTAAACCAACAACATAGCAAATAACAAAAGGTGGAGCTAATTAATATACCCACAAATTGGTTCTTTGAAAAAAATTTTTTTAATAAACAATGGCTAGCAAGATTTATCTCGAAAAAAATTAGAGAAGCTACATAATGTAGATAATGGGAATTAAATAGAGGATGTAACTACAGAACCTACAGACATCAATATAATTATGAAAACTTTAGGCCAATACATTTGACAATTAAAATAACATGGGAAATTATTTGTAAAACTAATTCCTAAAACGGATGCAAAATGAAATAGAAAAAGTAATAGCTTCTCTATGTATTGAAGAATTTTTTTAATTTAAAAAGATTTCTATAATTATAGGCTACATGCTTTCTTAGGTGAATTCTATCAAACATTTAAGAAAGTACAGAGAATCCTCAACTTACAGTGGTTTGACTTGTGCTCTTCTGACTTGATAATGGTGCTTTCATCTGTGTACATTAATGATGAGCATCAATATGACCAGTTTTTCACTATCAGTATAGTTTTCAATAAATTTCATGAGATACTGAATATTTTAAAATGGGCCTTGTGGTAGATGATTTTGCCCAATTGTAGGATAATGTAAGTGTTCTGAGCAAGTTTAAGGTAGGTGAGGCTAAGTCATGATATTCAGTAGGTTAAATATATTAAATGCGTTTTAGACTTACAATATTTTCAATTTAGGATGAGTTCATTAAGACATAAGACAATTGTAAGTTGAGGAGTATCTATAATATCAATCTTGAACGGACTCTTTTTAAGAAATAGAATTTAAGGGCCGGGCACAGTGGCTCACACATGTAATCCCAGCACTTTGGGAGGCCAAGATGGGCAGATCACCTGGGGTCAGGAGTTTGAGACCAACCTGACCAGCATGGAGAAACCCCCGTCTCTACTAAAAGTACATAATTAGCAGGGCATGGTGGCGCTTACCTGTAATCCCAGCTCCTCGGGAGACAGAGGCAGGAGAATAGCTTGAATCTGGGAGACAGAGATTGTGGATAGCCGAAATTGTGCCATTGCACTCCAGCCTGGGCAACAAGAGTGAATCTCCGTCTCAAAAAAAAAAAAAAAAAAAAGAAAAGAAAATTTAAAGGGACACTTCCTGTCTTATTTTATGAACCCAGTATTGCCGATTCCAAATCGAGACAAAGGCATTATACAACTTTGATGTTTATCCCTCATAAACATAGACTCAAAAGTCCTTAAAACATAATAACCAATTGAATGTAGCAGTACATAGAATGGATAATAAACTGTGAACAAATTAAATTTCTAGCAAGATTGCAAAGTTAATTTATTATTTGAAAGATCAGTTTAATCAATTTTATTCACCTGGATGGTTACATCTGGCAAAACTCAGCAAACTGTACACTTTAAAATAGTATTTATTTTATGTAAATTATGTTTCAATACAATTGATTTTTAAAAAAAAAAACGTTTCCCAGAGTGATCAAAGTGGAGGGCAGGGAACAGTAAACATCAGTGCTTATGTTATAGCTACTAGAAGCCTCCCAATTCCAACGACATGCTTTCAAGCAGGTCTGATCCTTCCCCTGGAGGATACCTCTGACCCAGGGGTGCTACAAATGCATTGCCCCTAGTTGCTTCTGTCACCTTAGTGATGGAAGTGACAACAGGGTACTGGAGAAAGAAAAGGTGTACAAGGTTCCAAATGCACATTCTATTTCCAAAGGACATTTGTGAAGCCAGTGGAAAGCGAAAAAACAAGCTGCTAAATAAGTCACAAGTGTGTTCTCATACAGTTTTGCGATTAACTAAATAGGACATTCAACAGATAAAATTTGTTTTACATAGTTACTCCTCTAATAGGATGAACTTGTGGATTGTGAGATAGGGCTGATATAACCTGTTTTCTCTCTGCCTCTTTTTTTTCCCCCAAGTTTTGTGTGCAATACATTAGGAAAAATATAATTGGGCTACAAAGCTACAAAAATGGCTTCCTGGCAGTTCCATGCTTGTTTCCATGTGGTGCCTATGTTTGGCACTGTGTTCTCATTTGCAGTTTCCTACTTGATTAGTTAATGTATGAAGGACAAGCCTGATCTCTACTGTGAATTTTTACCAAGGTATTCTAGTAGAAAAATGAGTATGTAATGGTGCTGTGGAATGCTAAAGTGTGTAAAACATTAAGAATCTAAAAATATGCTCATTTCCAAGTTTTGTCCCAGAGCAACTGTGCACTCTGATTATATCGCTACTGCTATTTAAAGTTATCCATTTGCATGTCTAAAAAATAGATTCATACTGATTGTCCCATTTTGATCTCAAAAAACTCCTGAATATGAGAGTCGTGATCAAGGGACGCTTCATGAAATGTTCCAAAGTTAAAGTGTGCAATGAAACCAGATTTATCATAGCCTTATTTAAAATAATTATTTCTAAAATTGTTATTGTTTAATTATAAACGGTATCCTTTCAGGATACTTGGAAGATCCATAGCAGTGTTTGTATTTTCACAGAACAAGCATAAATTATTTATGAAATAATAACTCAGATACAGAGATTACTTCCTATTGGCCTTACATATGAATATAAATAAATACATATTATGAACATGAGCATACTTATTTTATAATTATGTAAATGTGTGTGTAATGTTATATATAAGTTCAATAAATTCATGCTTATACATGGTTTCAATTCATGCTTCTAAAAACCACTCAATGTAGTCATTATCATATGTTAATAAATAATCTCTGAAAATGTGCTTCTAGTAGTTGCACAATATCCCATCATAAAGATTGTCATGCTGTTTTTAAGTCATACTTTTGGGTATATAAGTTATATCTGATATTTTTCTGCTACATATATACTATTATAAATCTATTAGTAGCTGATTTTTTGTCAACTCATATGATTGTTTCCTCACAATAGTACAAGAGTTGGTTGTAACTTTATTTCCTTCCAACATTTATTTTAGGTTCAGCGGGTACATGTGCAGGTTTATTATATGGGTAAAATGTGTGTCAATGGGATTTGGTGTACAGATTAGGTAGTCATCCAGGTAGTGAACGTAGTATCTAATAGGGAGTTTTTTGATCCTCACTCTCCCCCCCACCCTCCACCCACAGTAGACCTTGTGTCTATTGTTCCTTTCTCTGTGTCCATGTGGACTCAATGTTTAGCCCCCACTTATAAGTGAGAACATGCAGTGTTTGTTTGGTTTTCTGTTCCTGCATTAATTCACTTAGAATAATGGTCTCCAGCTCCATTCATGTTGCTGCAAAAGACATCATTTCATCCTATTTTATAGGTGTGTAGTATTCCATGGTGTATGTACGCTGCATTTTTTTAATCCAGTCTTCTGTTAACAGGCATCTAAGTTGATTCCGTGTCTTTGCTATTGTGAATAGTGTTATAATGAAAATATGCATGCATATGTCTATGACAGAATGATTTATATTCCTTTGGGTATATACCCAATAATGGGATTGCTGGGTTGAATGGTAGTTCTGTTTTAAGTTATTTCAGAAATCTCCAAACTGCTTTCCACAATGGCTGAACAAATTTACATTCCTGATGAAACTGGAGAGTTCCCTGACTCCCCTTGGCAGGATGTGCAACAGGGGTGTGGCTTGTCTGGCCACCGTGTTTGCTGTCAAACCCCTTACTGGGCAGGGGAGCATGCAGACAGGCAGTTGCAATAGGCAGGGCAAGTGGCCATGGTACTGTCTTAGGGGTGGGTTCCTGCGACTCCCACAGCCCAAGTGGGCATGTGTTACAGTGCACTCTTTTAGCTTTGCCATCCACAGACGGTTTAAGTGTTAACCTGTTCAGTGCCCTCTTGGTACCCAGTTCCTTGTCCAGCATCCAGAAAGAATTAAGTTGCACACAGACTTGAGGATGGTGAATGTGGGGGCTTTATTGAGTGGTGGAGGTGGCAGTCAATGGGATGGATGGGGAGCTGGAAAGGGGATGGAATGGGAAGATGATCTTCCCTGGGAGCTTTGCCATCCAGAGGCTGATCTCTCCAACCACTGCCAGCCAAACTCCTCTTGGCATTCAGATGCTCCTTCTCTTCTTTCTGCCACATCATTCTGCAATTCTGCTCTTCTGTTCATCTCCTCATCTGCTTGTCTGCTTCTGGAGCCTGGGGTCTGGGGCATATATGGGTACAGGACAGGGGTTGCATGGTGAGCTGAAAGACAACTTTTGGGTGCAAAAGCAGGAATGCCTGTTCCCATTTAGGGCCATGGGTTTCCAGGCTTGTGGGCAGGGCTTTGCCAGGGAACCACTCTCTTCTACCCAGTATTTCCCTGTCTCCTTTCTATATCACCACCAGCAGTGTATAAGCATTCCCTTTTTTCCACAAACTCGGCACCGTCTGTTATATTTTGATTTTTTAATAATAGCCATTCTGGCCGGTGTGATATGGTATCTCATGGTTCTGATTTTCTGATGATTAGTGATGTTGAGTATTTTTTCATATGGTTGTTTGCCATACATACGTTGTCTTTTGAAAATAGAATCCACAGATGGCTTAAGTGTTAACCCGTTCAGTGCCCTCTTGGTACCCAAGTCCTTGTCCAGCATCCAGAAAGAAGTTGCACATGGACTTGAGGATGGTGAATGTGGGGGCTCATGTTCTTTGCCTATTTGTAGTGGGTTTGTTTTTTGCTTATTGATTCTTTATACATGCTAAGTATTAGACCTTTTTCAGATATGTAATTTGAAAATATTTTCTTCTGTTCTGTAGGGTGTTCTCTGTTGATAGTTTCTTTTGCTGTGCTGAAGCTCTTTAGTTTCGTTAGGTCCCACTCGTCAATTCTTCTTGTTGCAATTGCTTTGGAATCTTCATCATGAAATATTTGCCTGCGTCTATGTCCAGAATGATATTTCCTAAGTTTTCTTCTAGGGTTTATATAGTTTTGGGTCTTACATAAGTCCTTCATCCATCTTGAGTTGATTTTTGTATATGGTGAAAGGAAGGGAGTGTACATGCCCCTGTGATATTGTTCCTAATATCCAGGTTGGGAGAGGATATTATACTCAATAGTGCAGGAAGTGTCGACCACCCTGAATATTGCTTTTACTATCCGGGGAGAGAGGGTGATATTACTCCCAATATCATCCTCTCCCCCCACACCCTGCATAGTACAAGCAATATCAAAGGGGGTCTGTGCAACACGTGCAATATTGGGAGTAATATCCTCCCCCAACATGGATATTAGAAACAGTATCACAAGGGGTTGTACACCACCTGTGATATTGGGGAGTACTATCATTTTCTTTCCCCATGGATATGTAGAACAATATCACAAAGGTGGTGTACAACCCCTGCTATATTGGGAGTAATACTGTACTTTCCTCACCTAGATATTAGGAACAATATCACGGGGGGTTATACACCACTGCAACATTGGGAGTAATATCATCCTTTCCCTCCCTGGATATTAGGAACAATACCTCATGGGTGTGTACACCCTGTTCCATATTGGGATTAATATTTTCTCCCTTGCTGGACATAAGGAACAATATAACGGGGGGTATACACTCCTTATGATATTGCCAGTAATATTATAGACTCCCCAAAGGGATATTAGAAAGAGTATCAGAGAGGGGTGTACATCCCCTGCGATATTGGGAATAATATTCTTTCTTTCCCTGGATATTAGGAATAATATCACAAAGGGGTTGTATACCCCCCGTGACATTTTAATTAATATCATCTTTCCCACTGAATATTAGGAACAAATTCCCAGGGGGTGGTACACCATCTGCAATATGGACAGCTATATCATTGTCTCTCCCCCGAATATAAGGAACAATATCACAAGGGGGTTGTACAACCCCTGTGATATTGGGAGTAACTTTATACCCTTTCCACATGGATATTGGGAACAATATCACAGGGTGGGTGTACACCCACTGCGATATTGGGAGTAATATCATCCTCTACCCCCTGGGTATTATGAACAATATCATGGGGAGGGGGTGTATGCCCTCTCTGATATTGGGAGTAATATCATCCTGTCCCCTCTGGATATTAGGAATGATATCACAGCGGGGCTGTACCTTTTCTGCACTATTGGGAGTGGTATCACCCTCTCCGCCTATGGATATTAGGAACAATATCACAAAGGGGGTGTACACATCCTGTGATATTGAGAGTAATATTGTCCACTCTTCCCTGGGATATTAGGAACAATATCACAGGCAGAGTGTACACCCCCTGCTATTTTACCTGTAATATTATTCTCTCCCAACCTGGATATTAGGAATAATATAAAAGGAGGGGTGTACACCACCTGTGATATTGGGAGTAATATCATTCTCTCCCCCTATGGATATTGAGAACAATATCACAGGGGCGGTTTACACCTCCTGCGCCATTTAGAGTAATATCATCCTTTTCCCCCATGGATATTAGGAACGATATCGCATGGGAAGTGTACATCCCCGCCATATTGGGAGTAATATTTTCTCCCTTGCTGGACATTAGGAACAATATCACGGTAATGCACACACCCTGCGATATTGCCAGTAATATCGTAGTCTCCTCCCAGGATATTAGGAACAATATCACAAGTGGGGTGTACATGCCCTGTGATATTGGAAGTAATATCATCGACTCCCCCCACGGATATTAGTAACAATAACAGAAGGGGTGTACACCCCTTGCGATATTTATAGTACTATCGTCCTATACCCCCTGGATATTAGGAACAATACCACGGGGGTTGTATACCCACTGTGATATTGGGAGTAATTTCATCCTCTACCCCTTGGATGTTAGGAGCAGTATCACAAGGGGGGTGTGCACCCTCTGTGATATTAAAAATAATACCATTCTCTCCTTCTCTGGATACTAGGAATAATATCACAGTGCTGGTGTGCACCCTTTACACTATTTGGAGCAATATCACCCTCTCCCCAACTTGATATTAGAGACAATATCATGGGGGGTGGCGTGTAACACCCTGCACTGTTGGGAGTACTATCATCTAGTCTTCCCCTGGATATAAGAAACAGTATCACAGAAGGGGTCTACACCTCCTGAGATTTTGGGAGTAATATCATCCTCTCCAAATCTGGATATTAAGAACAGTATAATGGGGTGTGGGGAGTAATATGGTGGGAGTAATACAATCCTCCTCCCCACTTGATATTAGGAACAATATCGCAAAACGTGTGTACACCCACTGTGACATTTGGAGTAATATCAACATTTCCCCACCTGGTATCACGGGGAGAGTGTACACTCCTTACGATATTGGAAGTATCATTGTCTCTCACTCTCGATATTAGGAAAAATAGCACAGGGTGTGTATACACTTCCTGTGATTTTGGGAAGAACATCATACCCTTCTGTCTTTGATATTAGGAACAATATCACAGAGGGGGTTTACAACTTCTGTGATATTATAATATTCTTTCTTCCCATGGATATTAGGAATGATATCCCGGGGGGCTTGTTGTACACCCCCTGTGATACGGACAGTAATATCATTGTCCTTCCCCCTACATATTAGAAACAATATCACAAGGGTGGTATACATCCCCTGGATATTAGAAACTATCACAGGGGGGCTGTACAACCTCTTTGATACTGTGAGTAATACCATTGTCTCCCCTCCTGGGTATTAATAACAATATCATAGGGTGGGTGTACACCCCCTGCAATATTGGGAATAATATCATCCTCTCTTCCCCGGGATATTAGGAACGGTATCACAGGTGGGGTTTACACCCCCTGCAATTTTGTCAGTAATATTACTTCTGGATGTTATTGAATATATCACAGTGGGGGTGTACACCCCCTGTGATATGGGGAGTAATAGCATGCTCTTTCCCACTGGATACTACAAACAATATCGCAGATTGTGTACAACCTCCTGTGATATTGTTCACAATATTTAGGGAAGGAGAGGATGATATTACTCCACATATCGCAGGGAGTGTTACATCCCCTGTAATATTGTTCATAATATTTAGAAGACGACAGGATGATATTACTCCCAATATAGTAGGAAGTATACACTCCCCTGTGATACTGTTCATAATTTTTAGGGGATTAGAGGATGATATTACTTCCAATATCACAGGGAGTGTATACTGGTGATATTGTTTATAATTTTCAGTGGATTAGAAGATATTATTCCGAATATCACAGGGGTTGTACATCCCCAAGTGATATTGTTAATATCCAGTGGGAAAGAGGATGATATTACTCCCCATATCACAGGGGATGTAAACCCGTTTGTGGTATTGTCACTTACATCCGGGGGGGAGAGGATGATATTACTCTGCATATCATAGAGGGTGCACACGGCTGTAATGTTGTCCAAAATAACATCCAGAGGGGAAGAGAATATTATTCCCATGTTTCAGAAGGTGTACACACCCCTGTGATAGTCTCTGTAACATTTAGGGAAGGAGGGGATGATACTACTCCAGATATTGCAGGGGGTGTACACCCCCCTGTGATATTGTTCGTAACTTTTAGGGGGAAGAGGATGATATTACTCCCCATATCGAAGGGATTGTACATCTCCCTATATATTGTCCATAACATCCAGGGCAGGAGAGGATATTACTACTCCCCATATCACAGGGGGTGGACAACCCCCTCTAAATATGTCTAACATCCAGGCGGGGACAGGAGGATATTTTTCCCCATAACCCAGAGAAAGTAAACCTCCTGTGATATTGTCCATAACATCCAGTGGGGAGAGGATGATATCACTCCCCATATTGCAGGGGGTGCATACTCCACTCTGATATTGGCCGTAATATCCGGGGAGGTGAAGTATGAAGTCACTACACATATCGCAGGGATTATTAGTATCAGATTGTTTGAAGGGCTCACAGTAAGGGTAGTAGTAGGGCGAATTCTAACTCAAATGGGGAAATGTGATGGCTACTAGAAAGAATTTTATGGAGAAGGGAATGTGGGCAGAGGATAGAGGGTCAAATCTGCATTCATAAGGGCTAGATTTTTCTATATATATTTATTTTATACATATATATATATTTTTCTCTCTCTCTACATATATATATTAAGTTGTGGGAGCCAAAATGTAATAATTATTAGTAACAGGGCTAATAGGGTGTTGATTACTAGGGTTAATGTTAGGTGAATTACTGTTTTTCGGATGCTATCAAAACTTTGGAAATCATGGTACTATTTACACTAAAAGAGTAAGATCCTCATCAATAAATAGAAACATACAAGAATAGTCATACTACATCTACAAAGTGTTGATATCAGGCAGCGGCTTCAAAGGCAAAGTGACGACTAGATGTAAAGTGGTATTTTAATTGGCGGAGAAGGCAGATTGAGGAACGTTGATCCAATAATGACGTGAATTCTGTGAAAGCCTGTAGCTATAAAAAAATGTTGAGCCATAAATACCATCAGAAATAGCAAAGGGAGCTTTGAAGTATTCTGAGACTTGTAGGAGGGTGAAGTAAATATCTAATATAATTGTAACAGGTAGTGCTTGGCTTGCATGTTTTTGATTATTTTTTGTTAGGCTGTGATGGGCTCAAGTAATTGAAACTCCTGATGCAAGTAATACAGATGGATTCAGGAGAGGTACTTCCAGGGGGTCAAGGGGAGAAATACCTGTTGGGGGTCAATGCCCTCCTAATTCTGGAGTAGGGGCTAAGCTAGAATGGTAGAATGCTCAAAAGAATCCAGCGAAGAGGAATATTTCTGAGATAATAAATAGGACTGTCCCATATTGGAGGCCTTTTTGAACAGTTGTTGTATGGTGACCCTGAAATGTACTTTCTCAGATACAGAACACCCTTGGTCAATTGAATACAGATCAATCACTTTAAGTAAGCTAAGTCCTTACTAAATTGATGAGGCTTAAACCCATGAAAACTTAACAGCTAAACTCCCTAGTCAACTGGTTTGAATCTACTTCTCCAGCCACTGGGGGAAAAAAGGTGAGAGAAGCAGGATTGAAGCTGCTTCTTTGAATTTACAATTCAACATGAAAATCACCTTGGGACTGGTAAAAACAGGCGTTGACCTCTGTTTTTAGATGTACAGTCTAATGCCCTACTCAGTCATTTTACCCTTTTTTCTCACTTCATTTATGTTGGCTGACAGTTGACTAATCTCAACCAACCATAAAGATATCGGGACATTATATTTATTATTTGGCACATGAGCAGGGATAGTCAGTACAGCTTTAAGCCTTATTCGAGCTGAACTCTACTAGATGATCAAATTTATGTCATTGTTATAGCCTATGCATTTGTCATAATTTTCTTTATAGTAATACTATAATTGGAGGTCTTGGCAACTGATTAGTCCCCCGATAATTGGCGCCCCCGATATAGCATTTCTCTGCATAAATAATATGAGCTTCTGACTCCTCCCACCCTCCTTCCTATTATTACTTGCATCCACTATAGTAGAAGCCGGCACTGGAACCGGCTGAACAGTCTCTCCTCCCTTAGCAGGAAACCTAACACATGCAGGCGCCTCTGTAGGTTTCACTATCTTTTCACTCCACTTGACAGGTGTTTCTTCTACTTCAGGGGCTATTAACTTTATTACCACAATTGTTAATATAAAACCCCCAGCCATGTCCCAATATCACACACCCCTCTTCATCTGATTAGTCCTAATTACAGCAGTTCTTCTACTCCTTTGTCTCCGAGTCCTAGCCGCCAGCATCACTATATTGTTAACTGACTGCAATCTTAATACTATTTTTTTCTACCTGGCTGGCGGAGGTGATCCTATCTTATTTCAGCATTTATTCAGATTCTTTGGTCACCCTGAAGTCTACATCCTCATCCCACTGGGCTTTGGGATAATTTCCCACGTCGTAACATACTATTCTGGAAAAGAACCATTCAGGTATATGGGCCTAGTGTGAGCTATAGGATCAGTTGGATCCTTACGGTTTATTGTATGGGCCCACCGTATATTTACGGTAGGGATAGATGTGGATACATGAGCCTGCTTCACCTCTGCTATTATAATTATTGCTATTCCTACTAGCATCAAAGTTTTTAGCTGACTAGCTAGCTACACTTCACGGCGGTAATATCAAATGATCCCCCGCAATGCTGTGAGCCCGGGGATTTGTTTTCCTTTTTACAGTAGGAGGCCTAACCGGCATTGTATTGGCCAAGGCTTATATTATGGTTCATTCATATATTTAGAAACCTGAAAGTTTCTAAATAAGTTGTAAAAAAGTTGTAAAAAAACCCCAGCTGAAATAACTACGAAGGTGCCTTTAATATTCTGAAGACAAAATAGCTAAGATCCAAACTGGGAGTAGATACCCCGCTATGCTTAACTCTAAACTCAAATAGTTAGATCAAAAAAACTGTTCGCCAGAACACTACAAGCAACAGCTTAAAACTCAAAGGACTTGGCGGTGCTTTATATCCCTCTAAAGGAGCCTGTTCTATAATCGATAAACCCCAATTTACCTCACCACCTCTTGCCCAGCCTAAATACCCCCATCTTCAGCAAACCCTGGAAAGGCTGCAGAGTAAGCACAAGTATCTACACAAAAACTTTAGGTCAAGGTGTAGCCCATGAGGTGGCAAGAAATGGGAACGTTTTCTACATCCAGAAAAATGTCGCGACAACCGTTATGAAATCTAAGGGCTCAAGGAGGATTTAGCAATAAATTGAGAGCAGAGTGTTTAATTGAATAAGGCCATGAAGCATGCACACACCGCCCATCACCCTCCTCAAATATATTCTAGAAACTCATTCTATACCCCCCTGTGATATTGTCCATAATATCCAGGGAGGGAGAGAATGATTTGATTTTTTTTTTTTTTTTGAGACAGAGCCTTGCTCTGTCACCCGGGTTGGAGTGCAGTGGCCTGATCTTGGCACACTGCAAGCACCGCCTCCCAGGTTCACACCATTCTCCTGCCTCAGCCTCCCTAGTAGCTGGGACTACAGGCGCCCGCCACCGCGCCTGGCTAATTTTTTGTATTTTTAGTAGAGACGGGGTTTCACCATGTTAGCCAGGATGGTCTCGATCTCCTGACCTCGTGATCTGCCCGCCTTGGCTTCCCAAAGTGCTGGGATTACAGGTGTGAGCCACCGCTCCTGGCCAGAGAGAATGATTTTACTCCCCATATCGCAGGGGATTTACATTCCCCTGCATTATTTCTCGTAATACCCAGGGGGAAGATGAAGATGTTACTCCCCATATAGCATGGGAGAACAATTCCCTGCGATATTGTTCATAATATCTCTGGGGGGAAAGAACTGTATTTCTCCTTTTATCACAGGAAGTGTACACCCCCTTGTGATATTGTTTATAATATCTAGTGGGGGGGAGGATGATGCTACTCCCCATATTGCAGGGGGTGTACAACCCCCTAGAATATTGTTCATAATATCCACGCGGGGAGGAGATGATGTTACTACCCATATCGCAAGGGTGTACTGCCCCCTGCCATATTGTTTGTAATATCCAGGCTGGGAAAGGATGATATTACTCCCTGTATCACAGGGGATGTACACACCCCTGTGATATTATTAGTAATATCCATGGGGGAGATAATACTACTTCCAATACCATAAACACCCTGTGTGTACACCCTCTGTGATATTTTTTGTAATATCTAGGGTGGGAGAGGAGTATATTACTCCCTATAAGGCAGAGTGTGTTTACACCCCTCTGTGATATTGTTCATAATATCCACTGGGGGATATGATGTTACTCCCAATATCATAAACACCTCACATGTACACCGTCTGTGATATTATTTGTAATATCCAGTGGGGGAGAGGATGATATTACTTTCCACATCGCAGTGGGTTTACACCCCTCTGTGATACAGTTTGTAATATCTAGAGGGGGAGAGTGTTATATTACTCCTCATATCTCAGGACATGTACACCCCCCTGTGATATTGTTTGTAATATTGTTCCCAATATCCTTTTCCCCCATGGATATAGGAACAGTATTGCATAGGACGTGTACACCCCCTGCCATATTGGAAGTAGTAGTGTTTTCTCCCTCACTGGACATTAGGAAAAATACCATGGGGGTTGCACACCCCCTGTGATATTGACAGTAATGTAATCCACTATCCCCTAAATATAGGAACAATATCACAATGGGGATGTACACACTTGGCGATATTGAAAGTGATATGATCCTCTCCCCACCTGGATATTAGGAACAATATCACAGAAGGGGTGTACACCCCCTGCGATATTGACAGTAATATCCTCTCCCACCCCCGGATATTAGGAGCAATATCACAGAAGGGTTGTAAACTCCCTGCGATATTGACAGTAATATCCTCTCCCCCCCGGATATTAGGAACAATATCACAGAAGAGGTGTACACCCACTGTGATATTGACAGTAATTTCCTCTTCCCCCCCCCCCCCCGGATATTAGGAACAATACCACGGGGGGTGTACACACCCTGCTATATTGACAGTAATATCATCCTCTCCCCCCCAGATATTAGTAACATTATCACTGAAGGGTTCTACACCCCCTGTGATAGTGACAGTAATATCCTCTCCGCCCCCCAGATATTAGGAACAATACCACGGGAGGATGTACACCCCCTGTGACAATGACAGTAATATCAACCTCTCCCCCCACCCCGGATATTAGGAAGAATACCACGGGGGGTGCACACCCCCTGTGATATTGGGAGTAATATCACCCACTATCCCCTAAATATTAGGAAAAATATCACAAGGCGGGGAGTACACCCTCTGCGATATTGGGAGTAATGTCATCCTTTCCCTGCCCCTGCATACTAGGAATAATATCACAGGGGATGTACACCCCCATAAGCTATTGGGAGTAACATCACTCTTTCTTCCCATGGATATTAGGAACAATATCACAGAAGTGGTGTACACACGCTGCACTGTATAGAATAAAGCAGGCGGAGGAAGATGGGATAATCTTGCTAGGTGAAGCTTCTGGCTCTCTTTTTTTCTTCTTCCCGTGCAGGACACTTGCTTCCCTTCTTCCTGCCCTCGGACATGAGACTCCAGGTTCTTATGCCTTTGGACTCTCGGACTTGCACCAGCGGCTTTCCCGAGGCTCTCAGGCCCTCGGCCTCATACTGAAGACTGCACTGCGGGTTTTCCTGGTTTTGAGGCTTTTGGACTTGGACTGAGCCACTACTAGCTTCTCTCTTTCCCTACCTGGCAGACAGCCTATTGTGGGACTGCCTTCTAACCGTGTGAACCAATTCTCTCTCGTAAACTCCCTTATACATATACGTGTATCTTGTTGGTTCTGTACCTCTGGAGAACCCTGACTCATACATTTTGTTTATTTTTTCTCCATTGCCCTTTCCTCTGCTTCTAGGCTTACCTAGACCACCACCATTCTTTCCCCCTTTCTAAAGTAAAAGCTGTTTTTTTCTCACTAAGTGCATGGTATTCTGCCCGTTTTCCATGGCTTCCCTCAGCCCTGCTCTGTTTATTCTTGCTATCTTAAGAGGAAATCCCTGCCTCTTCCGTGGCTTTTCCCACTTGGTCTACATACTGGTTTCTGTTGTTCTCAGAGACACACTGAGACCTTTCACATCTCACTGTCACTTCTTGGAAGGGCTCTCTACCTCGCCTGCCTGCTGAGCAACCTCTTGGGGAGACGCGGGCCCTCTTGAGTCACTGAACTTGAGCTATATGGTGTTGGTATGCTAATTTATCTTCTTAGACCACTTACCACTTCTTTAACTTCAAAAGAGAAGAATAAGTATTATTTTCCATGGTTGATATGAAGAGTAGAAATAACTTATACAAAATGCATTGCAGTTAAGTGATAATAAATGGCCGTGAATGCCCTTATTAATGTTATTCTATCAGTCTCGGCTCAGATACCATCTGCTCTGTAAGCTCTGCTCTGAATCATATCTGCTTCTTCTCTGGGTTCCTTGTGCTCTGTTCTTAACTACTTTAAAGCAGTAATTGTTCTGATTCTAATTAGTGATCCTTCCCAATAAAATTTTAATTTTGTAGATCTCTTTCCCCTACCCCTGTCCCAGCCTAACCAGTGTTTTCTTACTTTTTTGTGTACAGGCTACATCACTGGTCTTTTATTTGTGGCTAAATAAATGTTGTGTTAGAAGAGTAAAGAGTTCCCAGTTACATGGGATCTATAGTTCTACAAAATGAATGTATACGGCCGGGCGCGGTGGCTCACGCCTGTAATCCCAGCACTTTGGGAGGCCGAGGCGGGCGGATCACGAGGTCAGGAGATCGAAACCATCCCGGCTAAAACGGTGAAACCCCGTCTCTACTAAAAATACAAAAAAATTAGCCGGGCGTAGTGGCGGGCGCCTGTAGTCCCAGCTACTTGGGAGGCTGAGGCAGGAGAATGGCGTGAACCCGGGAGGCGGAGCTTGCAGTGAGCCGAGATCCCGCCACTGCACTCCAGCCTGGGCGACAGAGCGAGACTCCGTCTCAAAAAAAAAAAAAAATGAATGATACATAATCCATGTAAATATTTCACTTATTTTAAAACAATTTTTTAATTTTTAAATTAAATTTAATTTGTGCATGTGTGAGAGACCAGAGTGAGACCAGAGATGGCAGCGGTGAGGGGCGGTGGTCTCACCATGTTGCCCAGGCTGGTCTTGAACTCCCCTTCAAGTGCCCCCCTCCTCACCTGGCCCCCCTCACCTTGCCTCCTCCCCCTCACTCCTATGCCAGCCCCTGCCATTCCCTACGCCCTCTGTTGACCGCAAGACTCAACAAGTGACTTGCTGAGCAAACCCTGCTGAGAAGAGATCTGTTTAGGGACACAGGAGGCCAAGTACACAAAAAAGCAAAAGAACTAGCATGCCTTTTTCAATGGATGTCTATTTTACAGGGCTGGCTTCAGATTATTGTTATAGCTTTAAATAAAAGGACCGTTTTGTCATCTCGGCCCATGGCCTACATTATTTCTTTACTGTCCATTGCCCTGGGCTCTTGACTAATAATTTAACAGCAATTTTTTTAAAAATTTTAAATCATGATTCATTGCATTGCTGTAAGAGTAATTAGAGGTAAATTAGGGCTTGAAACTGCCTGTAGTGGGTTACTTTCTGAGATCTTAACATAATTATCAGGTGAGAGGGTGAAGTTTTAATTAGCGCTAAGTGGGATAGAAATTCAATGCACTGAAACTGCAGTGTCCAATTCAGTAGGCACTAGCCACCTGTAACTGTTGAGCACTTGAAATCCTGGCTAGTCCTAATTGAGATGTGTTGTGTTATATATACTGGATTTTGTCATTGGAGTGGGAAGAACAGCGTAGAATATCTGCTTGATAATTTTTTATATTGATTACATGTTAAAATTATTACTATGATTACTATTTGGGACATACTGAGTTAAGTATATTTAAAATTAATTTCACCTTTTAATGGGGTTTACTAGTACATTTAAAATTACATATGTGGCTCACATATTTATTGGACAGCACGGCTCTAGAAGTTTAGGAAGAAATAAGAAAAATATTGAGAATAGGTAGCGACAGTAGGAAGTTTGACCTCCTGTAAGACTGATTCCAATAAAACTAATAGGTGATAGTTTTAATTGGCTTTTTCCTACTAGAAAAAGTAAGTGTACTTTACGTGTCTCTTTGTTCTCCCTCTTTCCCCTTCAATTTAGTGGTTAGCGTGTATTTACTATATCAGGCTTAATATTCACTAAGCAGTGTTAAGAAGACTTAGGTAAATGATTCCCTGATGAACACACTTGATTTTCAAAGCACTTTCCTAACCCATTTTTAATTGGAATAGAGTCAAAGGTAGATGGCTTATTAGTAGTCATCTCATTTAAACCTCATGGAATTTTCCTGCTAAATCTCAAAGTAAACAATTTGTTATAGGCTGTTTTGTCAAGTGCATGGAAGGGACAGCATAAGACATGTGGTACTTCATTTCAAAATTGCTTGAGATGGTTTTCATTATAATCATACATTATTTGCTTCTGGTTTTCCGGAAAAGCCAGCTAAACCTGTGGTTCATTTAGATATAAATGAAATATCTTCAAAGGATTGCTCAAAGTGACTTATGCAACTTGAATATATATTTTTTTCTGTAGGGTGTTTATTCCAAATTATCTGGCCATTTGTGGCAATTTGCAGTTTTTTAGAAAACACCAAATATTTTTCAAGTTAGAGATGTTTTAATAAAAACAGTCATATTGAACTGGAAGCAGCCAAATAAAATGGCCCTTTATTTCACAGTTGAGAATTTGAAATTGGAAGGTAATTAACATATGTAAGGATGATGTATTTGCTGCCTGGCTTATAGGAATGAGCCAAGGTGTTTTTTGAGGGATGTTGTTGCTGTGTATGTCCCACCTATTTTGCTTCCTTAATGAACAATGCAAGTTTGAGACAGAAATATTTGAGAACATTTTTATCAGTTGCGACATTTTGATAGTGAACATTTTATATCTTCTGTCAACTTAAAATGTTTGCATCTTCTGTCTGCTTAAAATGTTTAATTTGTTATAGCCAAATAATTTGGCTATAATTGATTTTAATTTATCAAATTAAATTGCTTTTTTTCCCTTTAGACTTTCTTCAGTCACATCTGAATAAATCACTTAGAAGTAAGCTAGATGTAATATAATGAAATGCTTAAAAGGGCTGTTTATCTTCATATTACACTTACAGTGATTTTCTGTTGTACCCATTATATTCTACCTGCAGCTAGTTGAGGTAAAGAGAGGGCATTTAACTGTCATGGGAACCTGTGAGGAGACTGTAGAAATCTGGAAAGTCTCTTGGGTCTTTGAGGGATTTTGGGATGCAGAGAGTGGGGCTGGGATCTCTGGCTAGGTTGGAGCCAGCCTGCATTTGTATCTTTATCTTGGAAGCAAACTTAGAATGCAGAGATAGATGTGGCCTGGATGCTGCTAATTCTAGCCAACCACTAAATCTTAAGGTGGGAGAGATGCAGGCTTTGGCTGGGTGCTAAGCTGCTGTAGCTGGTTGAATGTAGAGGTCACTATTTTTTCTGAATACTTGTAAGTAAATTAAATCATTCTCTACTCCTGTATGCCTGCCAACCAAATGGGAAATCGCTATAGAAAAGATGGTTTAAATTTTAGTCTTTGAAGTGGTTAATGCACGTTTCTGGAATCAAGATTTAATGTGGACTTGGATTGGATATTGAATATTTTTTATTTGTCTACTTTTCTCTCCATAGGGAGCTTATAGCTTCATTGCACTGTGTGTGGCATTTGGGTCCTGTTTGGCAGCAATGACTGCCTTTCTATTTAGTGTCTGTGTGCTATGAAGATTGCACACAGGGGTCCAGATGCATCCTGTTTTGAGAATGTTAATGGATACACCAGCTGCTGCTTTGGATTTCACCCATTGGCGGTTTCTATAAAAACTTTAGACACAGTGAGCCACTCTTCTCAGGGAATGGTGGAAACCCTCCCAATTCCAATTTCCTAAACACCAGCCAAGGGCCAGCCTTGCATGCAGGCCTTTCTAAGGATGGCAGTCTCTTGCCTGTTATATGAAATCTTTTCTGCACACTTTGTATAGCCCCAACTTAATTTTTGGTGTTGTTTTAAAATTTCATTTTAATAACATAATATTATAAGATAAGGTAACTTGGTACTAATTTCTGTTGTATGATCCATCTTAAGTTGCAGCGCTGGTTACTTTTTTGACTTTCAGTGACGAACAGCTATTTGTACATAAGTTACCATAGCAATGTTAGGTAATTATAATCTGTCCTATTTATCTCATTTACCTTTCAGTAAAATTGTTAAATAAGCAAAATAATTTCTGAGTTAAAATTAGAATAAAAATTGTCTTTTATTTGGATTACATGAATAATCTAGTTTTCATATTGTGCTAAAGCCCTGCTTAGAATTATGAAATAAGATAAAATATTCAATCATTTTTATCAATATTTTCTTACCTAAGCATGCAATTAAATTTATTTATTTTATATATTTTATATACTTCAATTTGAGAAATAATGACCACGTGTTGTTACTTTGGTCTTCAATGATCTCTAATTTTTAGGGTCACCGTGTCTTGCTTAAATATATCATAGTAACAGGTTCAGTGAATATCTTTATTTTTAATTTTATTTACTTATTTTTTTTTGAGACAGAGTTTTGCTCTTGTTGACCAGGCTGCAGTGCAATGACACAATCTTGGATCATTGCAACCTCCACCTCCCAGGTTCAAATGATTCTCCTGCCTCAGCCTCCCAGGTACCTGGAACTACAGGCATGCACCATCATGCCCAGCTAATTTTTTATATTCAGTAGAGATGAGGTTTTACCATGTTAGTCAGGCTGGTCTCGAACTCCTGACCTCAGGTGATCCACCCACCTCAGCCTCTCAAAGTGCTGGGATTACAGACATGAGCCACTGCCCCCAGCCATCTTTTTTATTTATTTATTTTAATTGTTGTTCTGGAGATCCTGGGATGCATAGACAGTGAATATCTTTTTTGTTTTTTGAGACAGAATCTCACTCTGTCTCCCAGGCTGCAGTGCAGTGGTGCGATCTTGGTTAACTGCAACCTCTGCTTTCTAGGCTCAAGCGATTCTCCTGCCTCAGCCTCCCAGGTAGCTGAAATTACAGGTGCCAGCTACCATGCCCAGCTAATTTTTGTATTTTTATTAGAGACGAGGTTTTGCCATGTTGACCAGGCTGGTCTTGAACTCCTGACCTCAGGTGATCCACCCACTTTTGCCTCCCAAAGTGCTGAGATTACAGGCATGAGCCACTGAGCCCAGCTGAATATTTTTTTTAAATCAATAACCTTATTTCTTAGAGTAGTTTTAGGTTCACAGCAAAATTGAGAGGAAGGTACAGAGATTTCTCATATATCCCATGCCTCCCACACACGCATAGCCTCCCCCATTATTAATATTTTCCACCAGAGAGTGGTCCATTTGTTACAACTGATGAACTTACATTGACATAATCACTTGAAGTTCATAGTTTACATCAGGCCTCACTCTTGATGCTGTACATTCTGTGAATTTGGACAAATGTATAATGACATGACATGTATCTATTACTGTAATATTATCGACAGAACAGTTTCACCGCCCTAAAAATTCTCTGTGCTATGCCTGTTCATCTCTCCCTTTCTCCCTAGCAACTCGTGACAACAATTGATGTTTACTCTGTCTTCATAGTTTTACTTTTTTCAGAAGAGTCATATAGTTGGAATAAGAAGAATGGATATCTTTTTGAGTAGTTAAAAAATTAAAGCTCCATGGCAGTTGAATGTAGTCATTTAAGATGTTCTTTGTCCTTTTGTTTTTCTTTTGCTTCTTTATCATTGTAAAGAATGATGTATTCTGTTGAGATATGATTTACATACTTAGAAAACATGATTTGTATAGATATGTGGCACATAATAGAAAGGGTTGAGGAAAAGGACACCACGCCGTACTACACAGCACAACCTGGAGCATCTTGCTCTGTGAGGTGGGTCCAGATAGACTTTTTAGCAATGGAAGGGGACAAGTGCAAAGGGTTGTGCTTTATAAAACTGGAATCACAAAGTCTTTCATACTTACCTTCGGTTGGAAATAAGACCAGGCAGTGAATGCTATTAGGTAAATACATAAGTTCCTCACTGATCCTCTTCCTTTGAGGGATGAGGTTGACAACAGCCTGTATTATGATGACATGACTCACCTACAACTAGATTCTGTCATGAGAGATGACAAGGGAGTTTTGCTTTATGCGAGGTGCAAAAGTTTTTTTCTCCTACTAGGGAGATGGGCAAGCATTAGAACATTCTGGTAGTAAAAGGGCATTGATAGTTTTCTTTCTATATATTTTTTCACATCAGATAATATTGCCCGGCAGCCTGCCATACCTCCCGAGTGTTTATTCAGCTTCTCTCTGAATGTGGATAAGCTCTTAACGGAGTGATCTTTCCAGTGGTTCTTTCGTGGGAGGTAAAATGGCAGGTGAATTTGGGCCTTGTTATACGTAGGCCAGAGCAAATAGCTACAACTAAGGAAACCACCCAGCACCTTACCCAGAAGAGTATTAGCCAGAGTAACACACTGATCTCTCTTGAGATCTTCTCCACTGGTGGCTGGAAAGTCTTTGCAAGGATTCCTGTTTCTGGTCTGATTCCTATGTTTTGTTGGTTTCTGGCGATAGCATGTTTAATTCTAAACTAAACAGTTTGAACTGAAGAGCTAGAGAGGCTGTGTTGTGTTATAACAAAATAAGTGCAGTAACTACATCTTAACTGTGGGAGATACATTCCAAGACCCCCAGTGCATGCATGAAACCATGAAGAGTACTGAATCACAAGCTGTTTTTCCCTATACATACATATCTATGAGAAAGTTTAATTTATAAATTAAATTAAATCTGATGTTATCTGTAGATAGGGTGTGAGAATTGAATTGTGTCATCAGCAGGAATGATTGCTTGTTTGTTGGTGGGGAAAAACTCTCCACACATTTGGTCACAGAAGCCTTCTTTGTTGATGATTGTTGCTGTGGTGTGACAACAGAGAAAAACGTGTCAAGTATGTCTTTCTGCGCATATAGTGGATAAGGGGTACTAGTGTATACTCTGTTGTAATGGCCCCTCATATTTTGGTCCAGAAATCATGCTCTTTGACACTGTTGACTCATCACACCTGTTCTGCTAACAATACCATTTTTACTCAATCTCATAGGCTTTGGCTAGGATGACTTGTATACTGCAGCTCACTTGTAGATACCAAATTTTAATAAATTTATTCTTCTTTGCATCTAATAAACACAGAGGGAAGAGTTCTTACTGCATTAATTACCTACCAATACGTATAATGAATGTTAATTCTAATAAGATCCCAGGCATGCTCCCAAAGGAATGCTTTGTAACAAAGCGTCAGTCTTATGCTTTAAAAAACCAAACCAAACCAAAACAACAACAACAACAACAACAACAACAAACAGGATGTAAAGCATACACACAAGTGTGCACAATTTTTTTATGAAGGTAGAGTCTTATTATGTTTCCCAAGCTGGTCTCAAACTTCTGAGCTCCTCAAGTGATCCTCCTGCCTCATCCTCTCAAGTAGTTTGGATTAGAGGCATGCATCACTGTGCATTCTTATGATTTTAATATTCTGTACATTTATTATTGATTTAAAATGCATTTTACCTTTTTCTTTAATAGATGTTGGAATTCCTGATGAATCTGCAGTCAGGTAAGATTTCATAGATTTAAAAAATTATGTTAACTAAGAAAATATAGATGGAAGAAACTAATATCTGTTGAGTGTTGTATTCTGGGCTAGACATCCTAATATGTTCTATGCATTTATCATCTCATAAAGCCATCATAACATCTGTGTTCCTATAACCTACTGTTAAATAAACAACTATGGATTAGAGCTGATTAATTGCCTCATGATCCCATAGTTAACAAAGTAGCTGGCCTACAGTTTGACCATCAGCCTACCTGCCTTCCAAATCCTTTCTCTTGCTCCTCAGCATAGATTGATAGATATCTGTGCAGTCCTTGGATCAAAGTATAGGTCTGAATCAGATCAATCGGATTCATTAATTTGATTAACTTCTAAATTAATGAGAGTTTAAATACCTTGAACTCTCATTTAAGTTTATTGTTAGAATGTGGTTAGTCCTAATAAATTTGACGATTTCAGTGGTAACCAGTATCTTATTTTTACCTTCAAAGGCTCTAGGGCAGATCTGACTTAGCTTTGGCCATAGGACTGTAAGTTTTACCAAAGCAAGTTTAGGCAAGTCTTAGAGACAAATTATTTGACTTCCCAGTTTGGTTTTCCATTTAGGCAAGTATTTCTGCTTACTTCCATAATACATTTTTTAGTCTTGTTGCTTTTTCCATGACTTTTATATAATCTTGTCTTCATTTTTTAAAACTTTCTTCTCTGTTTTTCTTGGTGTTTCTTTTGTTCTATTATTTTTTTCAAACTCTGCTGCCTATGTATTCCAAGTTTTTCTATAGACAGAATCAAGAGGACATAGAATTACAGAATTTTAAGGAATCTTGGAATGAATTAAAATACCTTCTAGTATTTTTATCTGCATTGAACATTCTGGTCAAGTGATTCTCTAGATAGAGAATGTGAGGCTCAAAGAGATTAGGAAGCTTTTTTTTTTAGACATAGGAATTGGCAGAAATGAGATTTGAACTCATGGTAAAGCCCAGTACTCTTGCTTCTTTTTATGTCCTATTGGCGTGTGTTTTAATAATACAAACGGGAGTGAGCCTGTGGATAGAATGAGAATGGAATTAGCTGGTGAACCCAATGGAAGTAGATAAGAATGGAATGAGCAGGGGAAGTCCAAGTTTGAAGATAAACAACACTGGACTGGATAGGAGTACGGACTCTTCTACAAGAGATCAAAGTATTGGGGTTTATGACAAGTTTGATAAAGATAAATTATAAAAATGAAGGACACAAGATGTTGGGAATTATCTACAAAGGCACATTAAAATAGAAGGTTCAAGGGAGCTCTAAAAATTTTGCTGCTTTTTTTTTTTAAATCAAGGACTGACAAACTTGAAGATTTTTACTGAAAGATGCCAAAACATTTTGAGACACTGGGAAGAATGTCTACAGCAGATAAAAATGTGGTGTCATCTACTTCCATCCTGACTTACAAAGGGGTGGCTTAGAGCCCCTGGAGTACTAAGGGGCTGGAAATTGCTGAACTACATAGATGTGTGGCACAGGACAGGTGTCTCCTCACCTCTGCCTCTTTTCACGGTTCACTGATGTCCTTCCCATGTCCATGTGGGCTGGGTCAGGGGCATGATTAGCTGGCAAATCAGTCATGGAGTTCAGTTGGGTAGTTGGTAGTGTGTATAGCTGGTGGCAGGTGATGGAGACTCCAGTTAGCTTGTTTTTCAGGAGCAGGGATATAGAGAGCTCCTACTCCTGGTCATTTGAGGCCATTCTTTCAGGAATCTGTGCTTTCATACACTGAAGATTTGAAGATTGGAGACTTCTGTGGAACCCTGCAGAAGTAGAATCTGGAAGTGGGTGTCCATAGGAAGAAATATACTTAGATAGTACTTAGGGAAATAGAGGTACAACTATCATGACTCTGTTTCTTTCCTCGCAGTCTCTCTCCTTGGGTGTCTGAGTGCCTATGAAAATTTTTAAGGGCTTGCTAGTTTATGTGGACCTGAATAAGGTAGGACCTATAGAGTGAAAATAATGGGATTTTATAATTGTTAATATTTTAATATTTCTGGGAAAAGTATTCTCAGTAAGAACATACACCTTTGCTATTTGACTTCTGTACATTTAGCTTTCATACATTTCAAATATTGTGGGGGCTTTCCTGTACCAATTTAGGGTAAAGGAAAGCAATAGGACCTTCCTAAGTTGGATCCATGCTGAGGAATCAAGACTACCATTTTGAAGTGATGTAGATTAGTCTTTTATCCAGAGACAGATCACAGAAAAGAGACAGTGGATCTTTCTACCTTGTTTTAGGTCATCAGTTTTATTCCAGTTTAGGGAACAAAATTTATGTCATCCATTAATTGAATTTTAAGTTCAGCTTCAGGACAGATAATTTGTGAGGGCACATTATTGTCAGGCTCTGCCAATATATTGACTGTCACTATTTGTTATAAACCTCAAGGTAAGTTTTCATTGAATATTTTATAGATTTAGACAGGTGGAGGCAGAAATAGGTAACTAAAATCTATTTTTAGAACAGAGGACATATTTTAATTATATCAAGAATCATAATTTAATATATAGATCACTGACCTTTCCCCAGATTATGTTTTCCTTTTTTTGAGGGGGAAGCTGGATATAAACTGGCAGTTAAAAAAATTGTAAAGAAATCAACTTGCTCATTTTCATTGTGTATTTTTGCTCTCAAGCATTTTGCATAAACTGTGTGTGGATTCATTGCCTACATTGGATGATGAAGACTTGAGTGTTGCTACTAAGGTAAAGTGGTCTCTTGTAAAATTAATCTTCTCACTCTGAGTGTAGTTTTGCATAGTATTTACTTTTCAAATTTAGCAGTGGTTTACCTATCATTGTTTTATGGTGGTAATGGAAAGCTGGTCAGAGAAAAACATACACATGGCTAGTTGATTCAAAAAATGTGTTTAACTTTGGTAACTAATAAAGATTGGTAAGTACTGTGACAGGGTGGGAGCTGAAAAATAAATGAACTGGAAAACAAGTAGTCACAGGAAAATCACATTAGGAAATGCTTTCTCCAATAGAGGAAATATGAAATTTGGTTAAAGTTTATTTGGATAAATACTACTACTTTGACTTTTAAATCATACGAGTGTGACTTTCTTAATATTTATTCCTGTATAAATCTTCAGTGGATCAAATTGTTTGCAGTAATCATGGAATCCTCCTGGTAATTTTTAGTGGCAGAAATGTTCAGCACATAGCATATAGCTTTTGTTCTTGGAAACTTATCATTTTGGTGTCATATAGTTTTTAGGAGAGATTGTTTCTCTACTTATATTATTGGTTCTGTAGTGAGACTAAAAAAGTATTAAAAATTGTAGAAAAATAGCTGAGTTTGGTGGTGTACACCTGTAGTCTCTGCTACTTGGGAGTTTGAG
The DNA here is from genome assembly GCF_000001405.40 of Homo sapiens. Taxonomy (NCBI): domain Eukaryota; kingdom Metazoa; phylum Chordata; class Mammalia; order Primates; family Hominidae; genus Homo; species Homo sapiens. The sequence continues at coordinate 25,933 of NT_187513.1, forward strand.
ACAGTAAGATTGCTTGAACACAGGAGTTTGAGAACAGCCTGGGCAACATTGTATCTGATTTAAAAATATAAATTGTGGAAATGTAGAAATTTAAATTTATGTTCTCAAGATTTGTATTGCAAAGGGATTTTTATGTGATTTATGAGTTGTCCATGAAGAGTTTATATAAAACACTTCATCTAATTGAATAACTTGTATTTTCCTGCAAATAACCAGTTCTAGAAGCAGAGACTCTTAATACCAATATGGTAAGTCTTTATCATCATAATTTTGTCATTGTAGTTTATTTAAAATATTTACTTGGCCAGGCGTGGTGGCTCACACCTGTAATCCCAGCACTTTTGGAGGCCGAGGTGGGTAGATCACCTGAGGTCAGGAGTTCAAGATCAGCCTGGCCAACATGGTGAGACCCTGTCTCTAAAAAAAAAAAAAAAAAAAAAAAAGCACAAAAATTATCCAGGCATGATAGTGCATGCCTGTAATCCCAGTTGCTCAGGAGGCCAAGGCAGGGGAATCGCTTGAACCCAGGAGGCAAAGATTGCAGTGAGCCAAGATTGCACCATTGCACTGTAGGCTGGGTGACAGAGCAAGACTACATCTTAAAAAATAAAATAAAATAAAATAACCACTCAAAGTCCTTATATCATATTCTGAAAGTTTGAATGTCAGAAGGTTTTCTATTTAGTTTTTTAAATGATCATTGGAAGCTCCTGCATACCATAAGCTACTGGAGGTCAGTAAACATATTTGTGTGTATCCTGGAGTACCTAGAATACAGTCTTCCATGTAAGAAGCATTTTACTTGTTGTTTTTTGAGATGGGGTTTCACTCTGTCACCCAGGCTGGAGGGCACTGGTGAGATCTTGGCTCACTCCGATCTCCATTTCCTAGGCTCAGGTGATCCTCACACCTCAGCCATCCAAGTAGTTGAAACAATAGAGCTATGACACCATAGACCTGTGTCACCATGCTGGGCTGAGTTTTGTAGAGATAGGGTTTTGCCTTGTTGCCCAGGCTCTTCTTTAACTGTTGGGCTCAGGTGTTCTGCTCGCCTCAGCCTCTCAAAGTGCTGGGGTTACAGACATGAGACATTCAGCCTTAATAGTTGTTTAATCTGAATAAATAAACAAATGAATTTTTATATAATGGAATGTTATAAGTAATATAATAAACCTAATGTATCTAATCATTAAATATTGTATTTAAAATATTGCTTACATTGTATTATTTTTTAATATTTAAGGGTGTATAAGTTTTGACATGTTATGTTGAGAAATTATGCCATAATTAAAAAGGAAATAAAAGAGAAATAGGTCATCGGTAGCAAAGAGGGTTACAATATATTTTCTAGTATCATTCAACTGGAATCTTAACATTGAGATTTTAGATTAACATTTCTTAAGCTTTTTGTTAGACCCAACTCATGTTCCATTAAATATACTGTTTCAAGCCATACATTACTCTTTATTATTATTATTATACTTTAAGTTCTAGGGTACATGTGCACAACGTGCAGGTTTGTTAAATATGTATACATGTGCCATGTTGGTGTGCTGCACCCATTAACTCGTCATTTATATTAGGTATATCTCCTAATGCTATTCCTCCCCTCTCCCCCCACCCCATGACAGGCCCTGGTGTGTGATGTTCCCCATCCTGTGTCCAAGTGTTCTCATTGTTCAGTTCCCACCTATGAGTGAGAACATGTGGTGTTTGGTTTTCTGTCCTTGCAACAGTTTGCTCAGAATGATGGTTTCCAGCTTCATCCATGTCCCTACAAAGGACATGAACTCATCATTTTTTTATGCTGCATAGTATTCCATGGTGTGTAAGTGCCACATTTTCTTAATCCAGTCTATCATTGATGGGCATATGGGTTGGTTCCAAGTCTTTGCTATTGTGAATAGTGCCACAATAAACATACATGTGCATGTGTCTTTATAGCAGCATGATTTATAATCCTTTGCATATATATCCAGTAATGGGATGGCTGGATCAAATGGTATTTCTAATTCTTGATCCTTGAGGAATCTCCACACTGTCTTCCACAATGGTTGAACTAGTTTACAGTCCCACCAACAGTGTAAAAGTGTTCCTATTTCTCCACATCCTCTCCAGCACCTGTTGATTCCTGACTTTTTAATGATTGCCATTCTAACTGGTGTGAAATGATATCTCATAGTAGTTTCGATTTGCATTTCTCTGATGGCCAGTGATGATGAGCATTTTTTCATGTGTCTGCCATACATTACTCTTTAGAATTCTGGTGACCAATTCTTTTTCTGGGTGGAAAGTTGATGGAAAGTTCCAGTTTTCTCTCTCTGTTATAATAATGTTCTTTCAGGTAATGGTAGATGACCATATTTAGCTAATTGAATGTCTTATAGTAAGAAACACTATCACAGAAGTACTTACAAAAAACTAATTGCAGCATAAATATTAATTAGTATTATCAGAGTTATGAAAGACCGAAGGCTCTGTTATAGATCTATTTCCCCATGTACTTTATTATACTTCATGTTTTTCGTTTTCTTTCTTGGCTTAAGCTCATATTTCATTGACTAATTAGGCTTGTTTTTTGTTTGTATCTCTCTTTGTTCTCACATTTTAAATTGAAATTTTTGGGGAGGCAGGGTCTTGCTCTGTTGTCCATGCTGCAGTGTAGTGGCATGATCTTGGCTCACTGCTGTATCCACCTCTCAGGCTCAAGTGATCCTCCCACATCAGCTTCCCAAGCAGCTGGGACTACAGGCACACACCATCATGCCTGACTCCTTTTGGTATTTTTTGTGTAGAGATGTGTTCTCATTATGTTGCCCAGGCTGGTCTCCAACTCCTGAACTCAAGCAATCCACCCACCTTGGCCTTGCAAAGGGCTGAGATTACAGGTGTGAGCCACCATGCCTGGGCAACATTGAGATTGATTTAAAGAAATTGATTAGGGCTGGGTGTGGTGGTGCACACTGCTTATCTCAACACTTTGGGAGGCAGAAGTGGAAGATTTGCTTGAGCCCAGGAGCTTGAGACCAGCCTGGGAGGTATAATGAGGCCTTGTCTCTACAAAGATAACAATAAAAACATTAGCATGACATGATGGTATGCACCTGTAGTTCCAGCTATCCAGGAAGTTGAGGTGGGAAGATTGCTTGAGGTCTGGAGTTTGAGACCACAGTGAGCCATAATCAGGCCCCTGCATTCTAGCCCTGGGTTGACAGAGTGAGACCCAGTTTCATAAAAAGAGATTGATAAGAAACTCTTGATGCAACTCATTATAATTTTAAATGGAAACTAATTCTTGATATTACCTTAGCAGTGTGTCCCCGAGAAAGTGTCAGAGCCTTTACGTGGACCTTCTCATGAAAAAGGAAACAGAATAGTCAATGGAAAAGGAAAAGGTGAGAACCGTATTTTATTTAAAAAGTCATTTGATGGAGACCAGGCGCGGTGGCTCACGCCTGTAATTCCAGCACTTTGGGAGCCCAAGGTGGGCGGGTAATGAGGTCAGGAGATCAAGACCATCCTGGCTAACATGGTGAAACCCCATCTCTACTAAAAACACAAAAAATTAGCCGGGCATGGTGGCGGGTGCCTGTAGTCCCAGCAACTCGGGAGGCTGAGGCAGGAGGATGGTGTGCACCTAGGAGGTGGAGCTTGCAGTGAGCGGAGATCGTGCCACTGCACTCCAGCCTGGGTGACAGAGTGAGACTCCATCTCAAAAAAAAAAAGGCATTGATGGAATGTTTCTTTTAAAATATGAGCACTAATAGAGTTTAATAGCTAAAGAAAATGTCCTATTAACTGTATCATAAGTAAAAGAGAAATGAAATGGTGATAAGTGGTGTCTCTAACCAAGGGTCAGCAGTTGATTCTATTGGAAGTACCACTAAAGGAGCTGAGTTATGAGTTCCATTTTAACATACTCTAAGACCTGAGGCAAGTCAGGAGAGAGGGAAGAGGAAATGAATAAAAGAGAAAGAAAGAATGAGGAGGGAAGAGTGTACATGGAATAAATAAAAAAGAGTGGATGTATGTAATGGAGGGTAGTAAAGTCAAATTGATCTGTAGAAGAAGGAGGAACAGGGTGTTAGAAATAGGAAGGAAGATAAAGTGAGCTTCTAGTACCAAAATGTGTCATATAATTACAGTAACATTTTCCTTCTCTTGCTGTCATTCTCGCTACTGGGGAGGCATTAAGGATTGAGGTACTTTACCATGCAGACCTGTGTTTTATCTACCATAGATGAACATCACTGTAAATGGTCAGCCATGTATGGCTATAATTTGTTTTTATAGAAAATGAAAAGAATAGTGTTGGGTGATTTATTGGGAAGAAATTAATTAGAGAAGCTTTGCCTGATTAAAAGTTCATTAGAAACATTATGGTTTATAACGTAGTATTAAATTCAGGGACATAATAAGAAAGAAGTTGAGGCTAGGCCAAAAAGGCCAGTTAGGGTAAACCAATATGGAAGCACACCAGTGTGGAACAGGGCATTCAAATTGTCATGAATTCGTTGAGGAGCTTCTGGAAAGTGCACATTCTGACTCAGCAGGTATTGGAGTCTGCATTTCTCATGAGCACTCAGGTGATGTTTGTGCTGGTCCTTGGACACAGCTCTGAATAGCAAGGGAATAGCTTTCCTTTAGAGAAATCTGGAAAAAGAACCACTGGAGAGCAATTTAAAAAATAACAGAATCCAGGGAAAGCTTTAATTTCCTTTTATTTCTGAGCATGATTCTAGCCACAGGGGAAGGAAAATGAGATGAAAAAAGAGAGATTACAGGTGTATACTACTGCTGAATACAGATGAAAAAAGTGGTCACAATCATCCATAAAAAGCAGTTAGGAAGGGAAGCATCAGGATGACAGTTCTGATAATCATTTTTTCAAAGGAAGAGGGATGGTGAAAGGACACAAAAGGAGGAAAGAAGGACATTTGCTGGGGTCTTGGGAGTTAAAGCCAAGTAAACTTGAGACAACTCACTTCCAGTTGCTTCAGCATATGCCCAGTCTCACAAAAGAGGTTATTGCTGTGGAGAGTACTGGAGACAGGAGGGAGTGCTAGAGTTGGGGTAAACCACAGCAGCTCATTTCACTTGATAACTGTCAGGCCTCAGGGAGAGAAGTTTCACTGACATGAGTGAATAAGATATGATTAACTTGCATATAGATGCTTTGGTGAAATTTTTTTGAGACAGCCAGTTCTTTGATATGATAGCTGTTTTATAAAAGTCCTTTACAGTGTAAGATAATATACCAAACTTAGTTAATTTTAGAAGTAATCATAAAATTCATTCCATGAAAACCAAAATTATCATTTTCAATAAATACTGCACTGATTTTGAAATATAAATATGTATTAATATCCAGCAAGTCTGTGGTCATTCAATGTTTTCTTTTTTGATAAATATTTTGATATCAGAAGCTTATTCGACATGGTTTATTTGATGTGTTTTATGGACCACCTTGCATGAGTGGATCAAGGAGCTCTAATTCAAGGCCAAATGAGGGGATAGGAGAAATGTAGGTGCTGCAGTAGCCCATGTGATCATGGGAAAAATGAGTAGTTTGATTAGCTGTTATTTCATAAGTGTGTATCCTAGCTGATCAATGTAGAACCCTTTCTTTGATGAGAGGTGAATCCCACATTCATCTGAACTGTCATCCCAACTGCGTATTTCCTCAGTGACAAGACAAGGGGAATTTATTTGTGCTGTGCTGGCAGCAATGCCTCTGGTGTGTGGAGTTAAAATACTCTGTACATTCACCATCAGCTTTGACATTGATTCTCTCAGGTTTAATTTGCCCCTCTGTTTAATGGTCCCTTTTCTCCTTATCAGTCCACGTGTTCACGGTTATATCAATGCTTTTCTATTTTAAGTATAGGCATTTGAAACATAATCTCACTACCGAAATGTAAACTGTGCATTTTGGGAATCCTATATTCCTATTTTCCTCATTGTGTTTCTGTCATGTTGCTGTCCTAGGCAATGAAAAGAAGAAGCCAAGAAGAACCCTCAAAACCTTAAGTAATTATTTTTATAGCCAGGCCTGAGAATTCAGCTCGACAGTAACACTGCATGAATGTTTGGTTGGCCCTGTCATACTTACATATAATTGATGACATATCCCCTTTGCTTTGTAGGGCCTCCTGCAAAACATCCTTCCTTGAAGGTAATTAATTATGTATATTTTTGAATCACTAACTCCATGTTGTATAAAATATATATGATTTATGAATCGTTTTCTTTTAAAACCCATTCAGCCTAGCACTGAAGTGGAAGATCCTGCTGTGAAAGGAGCAGTACAAAGAAAGAATGTACAGACATTGAGAGCAGGTACATTTAATGGAATACTGTAAATAAAGTACATTCAATGATTGGATGTACTCATATTATTCTTATTCCTAATTCTATTTGTTCAATATTGAACAGAAGGCTTTGACATAAATGTTATTGTTGGTATCCATATTTGAATAAAAACAAATTTAGAAGCATAAAAAAGATTTTAAAAATGTAAGCTTTAGGTCAGATGTTTCTGTTTTAATGTTTTGAATAGCATGAAGTTTTCAGTATAAAATTTTTATACTTGTCAGGGATTCAAAGCAGTGAATTTTGAGACTCTTAAGATATTTCCAGTGAGTTAAGTGCTAGTTGGAGTTCTGATCTTTACCTAGAGGAAAGCTTTACTTATTAAAGTGTCAGTTTCTGTTTTAACTTCAGAGGCTTGCTGCTAGTGTTATTACACTGATGATCTGAAGCCTATCAGATGTTCTAATGAGTAAGACTGTGTGTGTAGGTGTATATATAGATGTGTGTATGCGTGCGCTTGTGGCATCTTTGACTACTACAAATGATGAAAGTAATGATTCATTTATGACTGGTAGACACAGCCTTTTAAAATGGTGATTTTGAGCCTTTTTGGTGTTAAAGTTTTTAAAACATGATTGCATAGAGGCTACCAACATCATAAGTTGGTTGTTTTTCATTTCAATGCCCTTTTGAAATCTTTAACTACATTGTGATGCTCAGAAATAATATGCAGAATTTTTTGTGTCCTAAAATGGTATGTGAGTGGTTATACAGTTTATATACCTTTCTGCCACTTTCTTTGGTGTGTTTTGTATTATACTTTCCACTTGTACCCACATTGGTGTGATTATCTCTGGTTTAATTCATTTTACACTGTTCATTGTATTCCCTCATACCACTTTACCACATTTAGTTAGACTCTCCTGTTGCTGATAAATGAAGAAATAAAAAGAAAAATAATGTCAGATTAAGAGGGCTTTTCTTTAATCGGTTTGTATCTATTAGCATTTACTATATGAGAGTTTAAACCTGAAAAGTTCAGAATACAAGCATGCACCACCATATTTTATTAATGCCCTTAGAACTATGACTCATGAGCCTTTAGCCTATGAAGTTAGGACAATTCATTTCTCTGAAGAAGAATGCTGGGCTGTTCTCAGAAAAGAAAACTGAAAATAGCAAATGATATTGTCTTATTTTACCTCTTGGACATCCTTGAATGAAACTGCTACTAAAGGGATACTCGGATCAAAATTCAGATCTAATGTTTTGAACAGTATAGTTTGTGAATGTCCAGTGATCATGAGCCCTTGATGGGGAAATGACCTTTCGAGTTTCACTTTTGCATTTTTTGCTCTTTTCGTTGACTTGTCTTGAAAGCTTAAATTCAACTATTTTATTTTTACAGAAACCAGGAATATAACTTTTAAAATATATGTCTGTCCTGTCTCACGGTGTTGTGTACTCTTCAGATCTTGTATGAACATAGACTTATATGGGAACAATTAGGTTTTTTGTTTGTTTGTTTGTGTTTTTGAGGCAGAGTCTTGCTCTGTCACCAAGGCTGGAGTGCAGTGGCTCAGTCTTGGTTCATTACCACCTCTGCCTCTCGGGTTCAAGCAATTCTCCTGCCTCAGCCCCTCGAGTAGCTGATACTACATGCACGTGCTACCATACCCTGCTAATTTTTCTATTTTTAGTAGAGATGGGGTTTCACCAGTTTGGCCAGGCTGCTCTTGAACTCCTGACCTCAGGTGATCTGCCCACCTCGGCTTGCCAATGTGCTGGGATTACAGGTGGGAGCCACTGTGCCAGCTACAAATAAGATTTTTAAGGCTATTATATTTTATACAATTCTTTGGTCTATGTGAATTCTGAAGGTATTCATGCATTGAGGGAAGATTATCTCAGTTTAATGAAAGCAGTTTTTAATTTAACGTATATTCATTAAATTTTTTTTGAAGTTTTTGTCTCTAGTACACAGAAACACACAATAATGTCATGGGTATTTGACCTTAATGTGTTTATGCACAAACTTAGTTATTCAAATATTTTCTTATCCCTGAAGAATCTTAATTACTAATAAACAAATTTCTCATGGAAAACAACATATATAACAGAGATGGTTGAGTGATTGAAAGTAAACTGTAGTAAATGCCAGAAGCTTAGAACAAGTTAAGTAAACTTGTCTGAGTTAATAGCAATTACAAGACTTTTAAAATACATTAGACCACGGGGGAGTAGTGCATTTGTGGGGTAGAGGACAACATGGTACTGCTTCAGTGAAGAAAGAACTTTTACACCTTATTACAATTTGTATTATTATTTACATTCTAATAAATAAAAACTTTATTTTCAGATATTTTACATCATGTTTCTACTAGTTGAACCATCAATAGTAAGACTTTTCAAAGATTTGGGAAGTTGTGAGTTGATGATAAATATCTGTATCACCATCAGTGATCAAAAATCAGACAGCAACTACCACAGATTTTGGACACGCGAACTTCATAGTTAAAGAAAGGATTAATCTTGGAGCTGTGTTTCTATCAAGGAATTACACTCTTCATTACCTGTGTGAATCGCAGTTATTAGAGTAGAAAGAGAGCAAAGAAGGAAAAGAAGCATAGAAAATTTTATTGTAGATTACCTCGTTTGGCTTCATGCTACCGTAGTTCTGACTTTTAAAGAGTCATTTTGTGGTCAAATGTACTTTGTGTTCACTCCCCTTATGCAGCCTACAACCAAACAGAATGGTTCTTAGCAAGGCATTTGTATTCTTCCCTTAAGGAAAGCAACATATAAATAACAAAAAGAATGAGAAGAAAGAGTGATTTTATTGAGGTTGGTATTTAACATAAATTTGAGTGCAGGTACCATGATTATATTTAGAATTTTTTGGCTGGATGGGAAAACCAGCTAGATGTCTATAGATTTCCTACTCAAACACAATGTGCCTTTGTTTTACTTTTACGTCTCTAATTTAGCAATTATTAGGTACAACTGTATGCAGTGTCACTAAAAATACCTCCCAAAACCAAATATTAAATAATGTCTATGGCTTTCTGTTTTATAGTGTTGATTTTCCCAATATTAATGGGAACCACTGAGCATTTGCCTTGTGGTGTCTCCTCCGCTGTATTCACATATTCCATCACCTTTTCTTAATGGATAATCATGCGCTATGAGTAAGGGTTTTCAGAAAAGCTGTGTCATTTAAAGATAACACAGGAGCATCAAATTTAATTCTGCTAGGACGCCTGGTCTACTGATTAACTGCAGCTAATATGAGGTCTACTTCACATCCAAGTTAAATTCAGTGCCCTTAATCAGTCATATGATGAGGTCAACAGTAATAAATTATGCAATATTTTTTCACCCACCCCTATAGTTTTAATTTCTTTTTCCCCTTGTGTCTGTGTTTAACATTTTGCTTTGCAAAACATGATGATAATCTTCTAGAGTAGTGAGGACAAGCTATAAATCCAAAGTTTCTAACCTATGCAAATGACTTGTTTGCTCTATTTTCTCATGAGCTTGGTAGATCCAGGAAACAGAACTTTTAAAACAAAATCACCATATGTTGCTGGGTGCGGTGGCTAGTGCCTGTAATCCCAGCACTTTGGGAGGCTGAGGCGGGCAGATAACCTGAGGTTGGGAGTTTGAGACCAGCCTGACCAACATGGAGAAACCCATCTCTACTAAAAACACAAAATTAGCTGTTCATGGTGGCACATGCCTGTAATTCCAGCTACTTGGGAGGCTGAGGCAGGAGAATCGCTTGAACCCAGGAGGCAGAGGTTGCCATGAGCTGAGATCACACCATTGCACTTCAGACTGGGCAGGAAGAGTGAAATTCCATCTCAAAAAACAAAAACAACCACAACCACAACCACAACAACCACCACAAAACCCAAATGCATTTCCTTGGCACAGTAAAACTGAAACAGAAAAAGGGTAAAGTAAATACAAGTAACTGAAAGAGTTTATGTATATTATTTTACTTCTCATTTGATTGATAAAATTTGTAAAGTAATGAGCAGAGTGTATTTCTCCAGGGACCCAGATATATACATTTATTTATTCAATAGAAATTCATTCTTATAATGGCCACTGATACCTATATCCTAAATATTTCTGAAAACATCTCCTCAGGCCTGCATCATCTTTGCAACATTGCCTTATATTTTATCTTTGTTCATTGATTTATATGCCTCAGAATTTTATGCTCCTCACAGTATTTAGAGTGAATTATCCCTAATGCAAATAGATCCGTGAACCGGTCCTGAATACCTAATGTCCAAGCATCTTAAAGGTTTATATAAGGATTTCAGAAACTGACTTCTGGGTAGGGCACGGTGGCTCATGTCTGTGATCCCAGCACTTTGGGAGGCTGAGGCAAGTGGATCATTTGAGGTCAGGAGTTCAAGACCAGCCTGGCCAACAAGGTGAAACCCCATCTCTAATAAAATACAAAAATTAGCAGGTGGTAGTGGCACGCACCTGTAATCTCAGCTACTCAGGAGGCTGAGGCAGGAGAATTACTTGAACCTGGGAGGCCGGGTTGCAGTAAGCTGAGATCATGCCACTGCCCTCCAGTCTGGGAGACAGAGTATAACCTTGTTCCAAAAAAGAAAAGAAAAGGAAACTGATTTCTGCCCAAATCTCCATCTGTATCCCTTTCCCCATCTGCCTTTTTCTCTGGAATTACCGAGCTGCTGGTAATGGCCCCCTCACCATTCCTCTTCTGCAGAGAAATACATACTCTCTTGGAGGCTTCTTGTCTTCTCTTGTTGCTGCCTGGCATGTGCTCACCCTTTCCTGCCCTCTGCCTCGCTTAATCTGGCTAACCTCACTCTCTAAGTCTCAGCTCATGGATGATCTTTAGGAAAGCCATCCCCGACAGCTTCTATTTTCCTTCCTTATTCCCCAGTGCCTAACACTTAGCAGGAACTCAATAAGTAATTATTTAGCAAAATTAAGACTGTTTATACAAAGATGATTCAAAAGATTGTCCTCTACAGTCTAGCAGCAAAGGGGTCAACATGTAAAGACATGATGTGCATGTCAGGTGGTAAAGTGACACTAGAAAAATTGACAAGGTACTAAGGGACCCCAACGAAGCAGACACCTGTGTGTGTGGAGAAAGATAGCTAGAATCAAGGAAGATTTCACAAAGCATTCTGAGCCTTTTTTTTTTTTCCTCTTTTTGGAGACAAGTTCTTACTCTATCACCCAGGATTGGAGTGCAATGACATGATTGAGACTCACTGAAACCTCAGACTCCTGGGCTCGAGGGATCTTCTCATCTAAGCTTCTTGAGTAGCGGGGACAACAGGAACATATCACCATACCTGTCTAATTTTTTGTAGAGTCAAGGTTACCTATGGTTCCCAGGCTGGTCTTAAACTCTTGGCCTTGAGCAATTCTCCCATTTTGGTCTTCCAAAGTGCTGGGATTACAGATGTGAGCTATTATGCCCAGCCTACTTTCTGAGTCTTAAAAGATGAAAATAAATTTTTCAGAATAGCAGGGGAAAACATTTGTGATGTAAAAAATGGGGTGCACACTAATTGAGGTATAAAGAACAATAATTTTGCAAATTATTAGTAACTGCCAACTCAATTAGTGTCTTGTTAAAAAGATACTGTTATGAAGTATAGTAAAGCATTACATTGTATATTTTGACTGTATTTCAAATTTCTGTTTTGTTTCTAACAGTTTTGTTGACTTATGTTGGGTGGAACAATTTGTGAGTGACCCTGAGATTTTGCATGGCTTGAATCTGGTGATATCTGGTGTCTCCCCAAGTGGTTTGTTGAAGTTTTGGATAATTAGAAGTATTTCTTACAGAAGTAAATATTTCAGTAAACATTGTTTCATTCAAACTCTCAAAATATAAAATACAAAGAAATGTTATTCTCTATTTATTTTTATAAAGATTATAGTCTTTAACTCTTCTTAGTTCATTTGAACTAAATCAATGAATTTGTCAACAGAACAAACCTTACCAGTGGCTTTAGAGGAAGAGCAAGAAAGGTGCAAAAGAAGTGAAAAGAAGCAATCACAGGTATATGAAAATTTAAGTTCTTGTTTAATATTAGGTTTTTTTTTTTTGCTTTACTAACAAAGCATAGTCCAAATGACATGACCTTTCAGACTATACCTTTAGAATCCAATAGATCATAATTTTATATGTAATTTTTAAAACATCTTAATCAGTTATGAAACTTAAGATATTCTTACTATCTCTAGTAACTATTAGTTATTCTAGTAATTCTTAGTATCTCTAGTAACTCATAGCTGTCTTTACCCTTGGAATTGAGGCAAGAAATTTTCAGAATTATCTTGCTGTTTTATTTATATAACCTTACTCATAATACACAAGGTAACATGAAGTATTGGGTCATATTACTGAGGAATAGAAATTATGAACAGTTTAACAACAATGGCCACTGAGTTAAACTAGTGTTAAAGGAGTCATCATTGCCAGTGCTTCAAATGTTGCAGTTTTATATTTCTGGACACCAGTGCCGAGGTTAAAGATTTATTCTGTTTTGTGGTCACCAGTTGACTTCTGTGTCTGTGTTCAGGGAGTGAATGGGGTCATAAAAGTCAATGCAGTTGCCTATTAAGAGAATCCTACCTTGCAGAATGGGATCTTTGGTGTCAGGGTGTGAACAATAACTTTATTTCAACATAAATACATAGTAAACATTACTAAAATTTAAAAAATCCAAACCCTATCACTACCGGAACTTAAAATATATTAGAAGTGGATATAAGCAGAAATTCTATCTAGATACATAACACTATCATAGTATATCATTTGAATTAGAATTTAAAATTTTGCTTCTCTTTCTTATTGGTGTTCAGTTTAGCTCTTAATAATTTAGTGTTTGCCTAGTGCTCTAGTTAATCTTCAGAAATAAACATGCACTGTAGGGGCTCACTCTTTCTGGTATGCTGAGGTAAAGTCTTTGTAAGAGAGGAAGCTTTTATAATACTACCTATCATCTTTGAATTCATTTCTGGTAGATTTTACACAAATGCATTAAGTTTAGTCCAAACAGACACTGAGAGTTCAGCTTGCTGGTTCATGTTTCTGTCCTATGTTAAGCCAAGGCAAATTATTTTTCACTTTTTAGTTACAATCCTATAATTTAAGAGTAGCAACACATAGATTAAGTTTCACAGTTAAATTTTAATTATTTTCTAATATTTCTTTGTTTATACTTGATTAAAGCTAATTTTAAAACATGCACTCTGACAGAAAAGACATCTGAGAAACAAAACAAGCAAATTTGTTTTCCATTTTGCACCTGCCCTCCACCAAAAAAAGTCTCAAGAATCAGAACTGGGTAAGAACAGTGATAAGGGGAATCAATCTATATATTCATGACTTTCTTTAAAATTCATTACAAACAAGTTCAAGCTGAATATTGGTAAAAGTTCTGAAAACTCCAAAATTACTGCTTGCCCTGAGGAAGAGCTCCTACATGGTAACTCTAAAGAGGGATGAACAAAAAAGGAGTGCCCTCTAGTCTGATGAATCATGTCCCTGATTTTGAGGAGAAAAATGTATCTGGAGGGTCTAGCTCTGTGGCAGTCCAGGCAGCGCCTGAACAGAGGAAGCCCATGTCAAATGTCTTTTTATTCCATTCACACTCCAGGTCCCTGAAATACACTTACCAGTCATCTTCTAAGCTTCATTTAAATTAAAATAAATCAGACTATAAAAATGATAACAAACCAGACACACAGCTTGTTTCTAACACAGATGATGAAAATTTTTGTTATGATATAGAAACTGAAAAAGTAAGGAACCCAGTAATTATGATTGAAATGAAAGATGATTAAGAGTTTGACATGCAAATGGAAAAATATATAAACCCAAATACCACTAATTGGAAATTAGACATTAGGCATTGGTCTCAGTCTAGAGATCCAGAAAGTCTTTTTGATTTGTGGTTTACCTTCCCCAAAGAAATGAAGCATATGATTCAGATAGAAAGCCACAGTATTTCTGCTGCTACAGATACTTATAAAAACAGAAAGCCAACACAATGCTTATTCCAGAAGCCACTGAATGACAATCCCAGTGTTAATAACTACAAAACCATGAATCTTGAATTATAAAATCCGGGTTATTCTTTGCCACATAGTGAGAGAACATCAAAAATAGAGCTAGAAACTTACAGCAAGATATTTCAAGGTCACTAACATAGCACATGTATACATATGTAACAAACCTGCACATTGTGCACATGTACCAGAATTTAAAGTATAATAATAGTAAAAAGAATGAGGTAGGCATGTTACAAGTAGAGTTCCTGGCTTTGGAGAAAGAGAAAGTCCAACTTCAAAAAGACAGAGGTTCACTTGCTGCTTCTTTTTTCTCTTTATCAATTATTTGATTTAGTCAAATTTTCTATTCAAGAAAATCCCATGTGTACAGTTACAGCGGGGTTTTCTAAATGTGTAATTATGTGTCAAAGTAGACTAGTCCTGCTATCTAAACAACGGTTCTGGAGAATGTTCTCATAATGTTTGTTCATTAATCAACCTAATTCTCACTCTCAGTCTTCCAAGTGGCATATGAGCTGGGAAACTAATTCAGCCATATACCATGTGACCTTCTGAACCAGATCAACATAAAGAAATTGCTAAAGAAATAAGTTTTAGATTCTAGATTCTTTTTACTATAGTCATTTAGAGATGAATTACATTTATTTAATGATAGAATGGGAATACAACGGGAGGGAAGCAATGACTGAGATGAGCCACAAAAACACTTCTAGCCTTGAGAGTTGCAATGAATATTCCCAGCCAAATGAGTCTGTTTAATGTGTTTTCATGCATGCAAGTTTATCTGCTTAGCTCAAACTGTTTGAATTTATAGTTCCATCATGGTTATTTCTAATATTTTGAAAACAAATATATACTTCCACATATTTTAAAAAATCACCACTCCAATATTTCTGTTGAATCAGACCTTACATTATGTTGTTTAATAAAGTATGGTAAGTTTTGGCATGTATGATTTTTATCATGTAAGAAGCATAATTTCTTAGCTAAAAATTTAACCTTTGACTCTTTAGTAGAAAGTTGAGTTCTGTACACTGTGTTCTAAAGATAGACAAAAATCTAGAGATTTTCTTCTTTCAAAGTAAAAGTAGATGAGGCCTTTTTCCACCCTCTGAGGTGTTAAATTGCTTTGCTCAAGTTAGACTTTTAATATATCTGACTAATTTGATAAATTTATCTGGTAATTTATGTAATTCAGTAACATGGAAATGTATCATGTTATTTGGTGCCATGAAATGCTAGGGAATGCCGCCTCAAGAGCTCTGGATGAAACATTTCATATGTCTTGGTTGGTTTGACTCCCGTTTTCAGTAGATAATATGGCTTAAGTAGATAACTGTACCATATGTGTTCCACCTATAAACATTTGTGGTAATTGAATGTGAAATCTGGGAAGCATCTCGTTTTCCAGAATTCTGCACTAGAAACTCAGCAGTTTCACTCTGCTTCTTGTGTTGTGGCAAACAAACATTGGTTCCCATAGTTCAGGGAGAACTTTCACTTTTTTGATATCCCAGGATTCAAAAAAAAAATAAAAAGAGATAAAAGGCAGTGGGGAAAAGAATAGCTCAGTGCAGAAAAGGGAAAACTTCTTTACTGTTCTTGAAGGCCTACAAGGTTACTTCCTCTTAATCTGGCTATTTCATGTAAAATCCATGTGGCAATGACAGAAGATATATGTTATGCCTGTGTCTTTTTATTTCTCTGTTTCTGCCAGTCAACTAGCATAAACATTTATATCAGATAGCAAAGAGTGGATGCGAATAAAAGCACAAAATGGAGAAGAGTCCTTTTTGAAATTTTGGAAAATTCTTCCATTCACTCAAACAGAAATGAGCAGACTTGACAAAAATTTCAATGATAAAATGATGAGTATCTTATAATTATTATGTATAATGATAAAATTAAAGTAAGCACAAAATATTTTTATCATTAAAATGGCGATAGTTAACCTGAATCAAGTTAAAAAATCAGGGAAAAAGTTTTTTTTATTGAATAAAATAATAATTATTGTTCATATTACTTTTATTAAAGGTCAAAGAAGGAAATAATACAAACAAAAGTGAAAAAATACAACTATCAGAAAATGTATGTCATAGTACATCTTCTGCTGCTGCTGACAGATTAACCAAAGAAAGAAAGATTGGGAAAACGTATCCTCAGCAATTTCCCAAGAAACTGAAGGAAGAGCATGATAGGTAAGTAAGCCTATAGCAGTTTTTTTTTTTTTTTTTGAGATGGAGTTTCTCTCTTGTTACCCAAGCTGGAGTGCAATGGTGTGTTCTCACCTCACTGCAACCTATGCATACTGGGTTCAAGTGATTCTCTTGACTCAGCCTCCCTAGTAGCTGAGATTACAGACATGTGCCACCATGCCTAGCTAATTTCTTGTATTTTTAGTAGAAATGATGTTTCACCATGTTATCCAGGCTTGTCTCGAACTCTTGACCTCAGGTGTTCTGCCCACCTCGGCCTCCCAAAGTGCTGGGTTTACAGGAATGAGCCACCGTGCCTGGCCACCTATAGCAGTATTTCTCAGCAGATAATTGTCATTGTGCTATAAACTAATTCAAAATCGGACTAATGTTCATTATGATTAAAAAGTTTTATAGTTTTACCAGGGATATTTAGCCCTGCCTGGTAATCAGAAAAATGCAAATTAACATAAAATAAGATATATTTTGTAAAGTCATGCTGATATTGAAAAAGTAATTCCTACCATTGAAAATGAGAGGAAAAAGGCATTCTCATACACTGTTGGTATATGAAATTGGTAAATTATTTCTGAAGGGTAACTTAGTGCTGTTTATCAAAATTTCAAATAACCTGACATCCCCTTAACTCAACAACTCCACTTCTGGGACTAGATTTCACAGGAAAACATAACTTGTGTAAACATACACACACTTATTAAGGGCATTAATTATATATTACACATAATGAACAATAGCTTAATAAATATATAAAATATATGTAATAAGAAGGTGAATTGGAAGTATTAAGAAAGAATTAGAAAAAGTGTGGGGTAACAGATGTTAGACTCTTTAGCCTAGTTTTAGATGACAATAATCTGCAGATATAGTTTGTGTGAGAGACATCTTACTCTGTAAATCATTTGGAGAGACACCTGCAATATTTCATAGAGATGAAAACTTATTTCTAGTGAACTTATACGCTTGTCAATAAATAGTAACTTTAAAAATTTAGTTGATTGTAAATGACCTTTTCTAATCAGGTAGTAATTATGACTGTGTGATTTGAAAAGGTAGTTTTGAACTTCTAACTATACTGAATTATTTCCAGTATCTTTTTGTATAATACATACTAGAGTGACTAGTAATAAAAACTTTAGCAGAATATTCTTTCCTTACTACTTTTCAAGTATATGCATTCGTTTGAAGATGTTGAAGTGAGAAATTAAATATTTGAGAACTACAAAGGAAAAATAATCCAGAACAGAAATTTTACTAGGATGATAAAGAGCATCTGCAGAGGTAGATCACAGGATGATCTCTTTATTTTTTAACAAAATGAATTTTAAGATAAATGTCTTTGTCTGCAGATGCATCTTAAGACAAGAAAGTGAAGAAAAAACAAATGTTAATATGCTGTACAAAAAAATAGAGAAGAATTAGAAAGGAAAGAGAAACAATATAAGAAAGAAGTTGAAGCAAAACAACTTGAACCAACTATTGAATCACTAGAGATGAAACCGAAGACTACAAGAAATACTCCAAATCAGATAAATCAATCTTTGGTAAAAATTCTATATTTTAAACTTTATTTTATCAATGTTACTTATAATATCCTCTTGATTTAATATATAATATTTTGGTCTAAAACAAACCAGAAATGTTATCTCATTTTTAAAAAATGAATGATGACACTTACAGGTACAATTATTTTTATTATAAATCTTGGCATCCACATAGGATATTATTTTATTACAAAGAGCTTTTGAAAACAATAATATGCCATAATATATACTTAGTGATAACCTATTGATAAAGATTTTGTTCCCAGTAAAATTGTTCCTTGTACTTCCCGCCATTTCATATTGATTACTGTACCTAATACTATAAAGAGGAAACAAATTATTGCAATCACAAATAATCTCATGATATTCTAAGAAGAGCTCTATAAATTTTATCTTATTTACCATTGGTGTTTTGAAATAAAAGTTTTCTTTCGTATTGATACATTTACACCACAGAAGTAACTGTGATCTGTCAGAGAACTAGAAGTAGAGTAAGAAGTCCTGGGGAAAATCCTGTAGCTTGCTTATATTTTTAACATTTCTTTTTCAAATTTGTGGTAACTAGATGAGCTCATCAATGAATGTATATAGGAGTGACTAGTATAATGTCTAGATTTACGATTTAGTAAATGTAATTCTTTCAACTGACTATAAAAGTGTTAAAAGAGTCAAATTAAAATAGAATGTTATCAGTGAAACAGAACTGTAATAACTCTGGGAAATTTTATCTGTCCAAATATGTGTGAAATAAGGTTCTTACTATAGGGTGGTGTATGGGTTAGATATCAAAGTGTAAATGCAATTTTTGATATATTTTAATTTAGTCAAATTTGTTAATGCTTTAATTTATGCTTTTGAGTTTGTTGTAATTCAGGGAAAGGCTTTTCCAATTCTGAAATTCTTAAAAATTCTCTGGTGTGCGTGTGTGTGTGTGTGTTTACTTTTATAAATTCATTGACTTTAAATAAATTTCTGAACTTTTTGGAACTTATGCTCTATAAAGTACAAAGTTTTGCTTCAACTTTTTCTCCAGTTGGATATCCACTTACAGTAACCTTTTTAGTATGTGGATGTGCAGGTTATTCTTTAACTTCAGAGGTAATCATGATATTTTATTGAGTACTAGCTAAAACTTTCTTTTGTTTTATTTAGGATTTTCATAATCAGGAAGAAATGAAAGATCTGATGGATGAAAATTGCATTTTGAAGACAGATATTGCTATACTCCGACAGGAAATATGCACAATGAAAAATGACCACCTGGAAAAAGAAAATAAATATCTTAAGGACGCTAAAATTGTTAAAAAAACAAATGCTGCCCTTGAAAAGTATATAAAACTCAATGAGGAATTGATAACAAAAACAGCATTCCGGTATCAACAAGAGCTTAATGATCTCAAAGCTGAGTATACAAGGCTCAATTCCGAACTGTTGAAGGAAGAAGAAAGCAACAAAAGACTGGAAGCTGAAATTGAATTATCAGTCTAGACTGACTGCTGCTATAAGTAAGCACAGTGAAAGTGTGAAAACAGAAAGAAACCTAAAACTTGCATTAGAGTGAACACAAGATGTTTCCTTACAAGTAAAAATGAGTTCTGATATTTCCGAAGTAGAAGATAAGAATGAGTTTCTTACTGAACAACTTTCTAAAAAGCAAATTAAATTCAATACCTTAAAAGATAAGTTCCGTAAGTAAAGAGATACTCTCAGAAAAAAGTCATTGGCTTTAGAAACTCTCCAAACGACCTAAGCCAAACACAGCAGCAAATAAAGGAAATGAAAGAGATGTATGAAAATGCAGAAGCTAAAGTGAATAATTCCACTGGAAAGTGGAGCTGTGTAGAAGAGAGGATATGTCAACTCCAACATGAAAATCCGTGCATTGAACAGCAACTAGATGATGTTCATCAGAAAGAGGATCATAAAGAGATAGTAACTAATATCCAAAGAGGCTTTATTGAGAGTGGAAAGAAAGACCACATGCTAGAAGAGAAAAATAAGAAGCTAATGAATGAATGTGATCATTTAAAAGAAAGTCTCTTTCAATATGAGAGAGAGAAAGCAGAAAGAGTAGTAAGTATCAAGGAAGATAAATGTTTTCAAACTTTTAGAAAGAAAATTTAAACATTTGGTTCTGGATACATGTTGAACTTAGTTGAATATAAAAATCAATGGATAAAAAGTGTGTTTACCATACTGTATAATTCCATTTACATGAAGCATCCAGAAAAGATAAACGTATAGGGACAAAAAGTAGACTAATGTTTGCAAAGGGCTGGGGCTGAAAGCTGGTAGTGACTGCTAATGGGCGTGAGGGATCTTGCAGTGATGGAAATGCTGTAAAGTTGGATTGTAGAGATGGCTGCACAACTCAGTAAATGGACTAAAAAATCTTTTAACTTTAAGTTAAAACAGATACATTCTATAGTATGTAAATTATATTTCAACAAAGCTGTTTTAATAAAAAAAAAGGAAAACCGTGTTTACTATACCAGCTTAGAAACGTGCCCCATTTCTAGGAAATAAAAGGTAGAGGTGAGAGATGATTTACTTTGAGAAAAGACATTGTGTCACCTATGAAATTTTATTAGGCACAGAGTCATATTTTAAGATAGATAGTTCTGTACTGGTGAAATAATAATTTTAATGACTTTATGTTGCCACATGTTAAGACCATAATGTAAGTATAAATGGAAATGTTTACACCTGAAATGAGTATTTTCAAATTAAAATTTAATTGATTTTCTTTGACACTTAATTCTAGATTTCCCAGATGAACTGAAGTGTATTGCTGTGTCTTGTAATACCTTGCTTTAAGTAGCTTTTTATGTATTTTAGTTGGTATATCTTTGTTATTAATCATATTAATTTAACAAATCTGAAAATATGTCAAATTACATATTTTTATGACTATGTAATGTTTTAAAGGCACCTACTTGTTATAAAATCATAATTTAGGATACATGTGGTAATATTTAGCAAAAGTATATTTGGTTTAGTCTTCCCACTGGTATTTATAGTTTACTTTGAATATTTATATTAATAATTAGCTCCTAATTTTTATTTCAAGGCTCAATGGCTATCATTGGAATATAATTTTGTTCAGTACAAAGATACTTGTAGCTGCCTGTGATTTATGAATAAGGCATTAGATCCCTATTTTCAGACTGAGGGGTGGCAGGCTTCACGTACAGTGGGAATGGAGTAATTACAGGAGGGAGTTGTAGGAGCTTTGAAGTCAGAGAGGGAGGTAGAGACCTGTTTACCTAGGACCTCAAAGGCCATTGGAATTTTACTTTTATTCTGAGATAGGAATCTGTTGGAAGGATTTGAACAGGTGATTGAATATGTGAGGAACTTTGAGGTTGAGTTGAGCTTCTAAGATGATTGAATGGTGGGATGAATCTGTTATGTAAGTAAGAGAATACCAATTTGGCAGGAAGAGAACATATTGTGCATCCCTCACTGAATTCAGTAATAAATAAAAATGTGTACATGTGATTAAAAGAAGGTGAATCGATATGTGTGGTGATAATTTTCAAAGTACGTATGTTAGAGTTAAATATTATTAACATAATTTAATAATAAGGCAATTTATAAAATCAGTAACAAAACTATTTTCTCAGGTGGTTGTGAGACAACTTCAGCAAGAAGCAGCTGACAGCCTAAAAAAATTAACTATGTTAGAGTCTCCACTGGAAGTATATCACATTATCACATTAATTTGGATGAGACACAGGTCCCAAAGAAGAAATTATTTCAAGTGGAAAGTCAAGTATGTATGGAACTTAGCATGTCAACGGTTATTCTGTAGCTTGTTGAATTACATAACATGTTTTAGGATACTAATTATGGCAGAAGCTTGATTTTTTATTTTCATTACAATGAATTATTTCCATTTTACTATCTCTATAATGTACTTATTTTTTTATATAGTGACTTTCATTCTACCATTTTGAAAAACCATTGCATACCTTTTCTCTTACAATATGTACCCTTGAAAAAGTTGAGAATTATACATCATTCCTCATAGAAAACTGACTTTTGTCCTGTTAAAACAGTATTTTTAAGTAATTTTTGTATTGCTCTGATGAGGCAGGCCAGATTAAATCAGAGAAGAATGTTTCATGGAATGTTCCAGAAAATTGTCTTATTTCTTCACTTTTGTGAGTGGACACAGAATCTGTGTCTATTTATTTCACAGATTCTAGGTTAACTTGTACAGAAAGGCCATTATACTATTCTTTTAAAAGTGCATGTTTTAGGTTAATTTACAAACTATTTGAAAAGTTAGGCATTTTCTTTATCTTTTATTTAAAATATACTATAAAACTGTGGAAATATTTAAATTTGAGATAACATGTACATCAAAAATTGAGAGTTGAGAAAATTATCTTGATCCTGCCTTTGGATTTTAAAGACAGTTTCACTGAGATATCATTCACATTTGAGAGAGTTCAACCATTTAAAATGTACAACTGAGTATCTATTAGTATATTCACAGCATTTTCATCACCTGAAAAGCAACCCCACATCTCCTAGGCATGACTGCAGCCTTCCTCCATGTCCCTCCACCTACCTCTGTTGTAGGCAACCACCATCTATCTACTTTTGTCTCCATATGTTTACCTGTTCTGCTTATTTCATATACATAGAATTATACAATACGTAGTCCTTTGTGACTGGCTTTTTCACTTAGCATAATGTTTTCAGAATTCACTTAGCATAATGTTTTAGCACACATTGGTAGTTTATTTCTTCTTATAGTTAAGTGATATTCTATTCCATGTCTATACTGGTTTTCCATTCATTCATCGGTTGATGGACCTTTAGGTTAGTTTCCACTGTTTAGCTCTTATGAAAAATGCTGCTGCGAACATTCACTTACAGGTTATTATGTGGACAAGCGTTTTTATTTCTCTGCCATTGGACTTTATCCTCAGAGTTAATTGGGCAGATTTCAGCACTTGTCTTGCTCATGCTATCCTTTCTGCCTTCTCAGTTTCTATTCATCTAGCCTCATTCACTCAGACGTGGCAGACAATTTATTGTTTTCATGAAGCTTTCTCTGAGTGTTCTCTCATTGACCTCATGTGTTAGCAATCGTTGTCTAGTCTGTGCAGAAAAACTTAGTTCTTAATTTTACATGGCTTTTATTTTTTTATGGAAGATAGTTTTCTCTCATTATAAATTTGCTTAATGGGGGAATAATATATAATATGTATGCCACCTATCCTTGCATACATTGAAAATATTTTAGCTTAGAAGTTTGTAGCATACAATTCAATACTTTATACCATACCAATTATTTCTTCTTTGAGACCTTGACACAGTAAGGTTTGTATTCTAAGTGTGTTTTTAGCAATTAAATATCAAAGCCAACCCAATTAGTCTAATACAGGAGACTCGTTCAATCACATGTTTATGTTTTTCTCTCTATGAAAAATAATGTAAATTGGCCTTTTTTCACTATGCAGCAGAACTGTGTTTCTGGACTGCTACCAGTTTGTCAGCTGAACAGTTCTGGGTGCAGCTTGTCCGATGACGGATAGCACAGCCCCTCAATCTGTGTGCTCAGCAGAGTGCTTGTGAAGGCAGCACCACAGCAACAGTTGCTCAGAGGGAACGGATTCAGGAGCCTTGATTTAGCAATAGAGTCCAGGGTTTTCAGCTCAGTGTCTTTAGCCTGTCTCTGCTGGTCATGTCAGTTATGTACTATTCAATCCAGGAGGTGCTGTTTACATTGTAGTACATACATAGTCATTGCCTAATGAGTCATACAGAGAGAAAAGTAAGTTATAAATTATGTCCCCCATTTGCTGCAACTCTCAGTGGTAAGAATGATTCAGTGCAGCTATAGGAGAGTACTTCCATTGGCATGCCACCTGCCTAAAATACACAATTTTGTTAAGATATACAATAAAATTATTATGCTAATAGCAAATATTTTATGTAGCTCACTATGTTCCACGTAGTCTTCTAAGTGTTTCATGTTAGTCCCCAGTTAAACACCTGGTTTTGGAAGGCTGAAGCAGGAGGATCGTTTGAGCCCATGAGTTTGAGACCAGCCAGAGCAATATAGTGAGACCCTGTCTCTAAAAAAAAAAAAAAAAAAAAAAAAAAAAAAAAAAAAAAATTTAAACACTTATCTGAGGCATGGTGGTGCACGCCTGTAGTCCCAGCTACATTGGGAGGCTGTGGTAGGAGGGTCGTTTGAGCTTGGAATATTGAGGCTGTAGTGAACAGTGATCAAGCCGCTGCACTCCAGGCTGGGTAACAGAGGGAGACTCTGTCTCATAAATAAAACGTTTTGTATAGATTCCCTTAGAAGTGAGTTAGACATCAGTCATAGAATTATTAGCCACTTTGATGTCTACCTTGGGAGTAAAACATATAATAAGGGGCAGCATTAAACCATCTCAATCACTAGCCTCCAACTTCTCAAGAAGGTTCTTATTTCATGAATTTCTACACAAAAGACTAACTGGGTTAAGACATTTGGTGGACACCATTTTGAGATGAAGAATCTTGAGTGAGAAGAAGGGAGATCTCTACTTACTGAAGCTTCCCAATGACATAGTTAAATGTCCCCCAAAAGAAACTTTAGAACAAGACTTTCATCATGCCATATCTCTATGGAAAAGGAATTTCTTTAAAAGAAAACAAAGGCAAACAATTGATAATATGATTCTCATGGGAAAGTTTTCATCATAAAAGAAAAAGAGGGCTGGGTGCCGTGGCTCACGTCTGTAATCCCAACACTTTGGGAGGCTGAGGTGCGTGGATTACCTGAGGTCAGCAGTTCAAAAACAGCCTGGACAACATAGTGAAAACCTGTCTCTACTGAAAATACAAAAATTAGCCAGGTGTGGTGGTGTGCACCTGTAGTCGCAGCTACTTGGGATGCCGAGGCAGGAGAATCACTTGAACCCAGGAGGTGGAAGTTGCAGTAAGCCGAGATGGTGCCACTGCACTCCAGCCTGGATGACACAGTGTGACTCCATCAAAAAAAGAAAAAAAGAAAAACAAAAAAAGGGACAAAGTATACTGGTCCAAAAAAGAAGAAAGCAAGAAAAAAAGGACAAAGTATACTGGTTAGTATCATAACAGTGAGATAGTCCCCCTTTGAGATTAGAAAATAACAGTATACTCAAAGTAACATTAATGAGAACCAACATAAAATAGACAACATTCACTATCTACAAAAGTAATCTGCACCAATTAGCAATGTATGAGCATGTGGTTGAGAATATTTTCTATAATATGGGTACTAGAAGGAAGAGACCTCAAGAAAATGGTCAGAGCTGGAAATGTAGATTAGGGAATCTAGGTCAAAGTTTTGAGATTTTAGGAGTCCTGAGAGAATTTAAAAAGAGAAATAGCCACCAGGCATGGTGGCCACACCTGTAATCCCAGCACTTTGGGAGGCCAAGGCAGGAAGATCATGAGGTCAGGAGTTCAAGACCAGTCTGGCCAACAAGTTTCTTATATAGGTAAACGTGTTCCATGATGGTTTGCTGCACCTATCAATCCATCACCTAGATATTAAGCCCTGTGGGCATTAGTTATTGATCTTGATGCTCTCCCTCCTGACCCCAACAGGCCCCAGTGTTTGTTGTTCCCCTCCCTGAGTCCATGTGTTCTTATCGTTCAGCTCCCACTTATAAGTGAGAAGATGCAGTGTTTGGTTTTTTCTTCCTGCATTAGTTTGCTGAAGATATCAGCTTCGGGTTCATCCATATCCCTGCAAAGAGCACGATCTCATTCATTTTTATGGCTCCATAGTATTCCATGGTGTATATATACCACATTTTCTTTATCCCATTATCACTGATAATGTCCATCTGGGTTGATTCCATGTCTTTACTATTGTGAATAGTGCTGCAGTGAACATGCAAATGCATGTATCTTTATAATAGAATAATTTATATTCCAACGTATGGTAATTTTAAATCAGTTTTGGTATTAAAAATCATGCATTTTGGAAAATATTGATAATGGAAAAATCCAAATTCTGCCAAAATATGTTGAGAAAATAGAGAGTAAATATATCTTTTCAAACTTTAAATGCCTCAGGCTTTTAGTTAATCTTCCCCAGATCTGGGAAGACCTAGAAGGGGAGATTGGGCTACCTTAATGAGGGCCATTTCAATCTCTTGGCCCTGCAGCAGCCATTTCAAAATACGTCAAACAATATATTTGGGGGTAAATTATTTTGATTTCCTTCAGCTTCTTCTCTCTGTGATGTTGCACCAGAATCAGATTAGAAAGGAAGCCACATTATAAGTGTTAATAAAACCCATCTGATGAGATTTGATAGTTTGAAGGGTGTGTTTCCCAGACCCTTTAGATAGAAATTAGGGCCAAGGAAAACAAGGTCTTATTCCTCTATATAAATCTGTCAGTGCTTTAAGCAGTGAAAGAAAGATTTTTCATTGAATTTTACAGACTTGATACTAATGAAAAGGATAGCTTGTAAAATATAAATCTATTTTTCTATAAAAAGGACATGTTGTTGATTCTCTTAGACCTTGAACCCTGGCCAGTGATTTGAAACCAAGCAGTACCTATCTGCAGATCTCTAGTACCAAATTAATTTGGGGTGGGGGGTAACAGGTTTATTGAGAAATAATGAACACGCCATGCAATTCACTCATTTAAAGTATAGAATTCATTAACTTTAGTATTTTCAGAGAGTTATGCCGTCATCATTACAATTAATTTTAGAACATTTTCATCACCCTAAAAACAAACCCCACATCATTTAGCCATCTTCACTAGTTTTCCCTTCCTCCCTCAGCCCTAGGGAACCACCCACCTTCTTTGTATAGATTTGCCTATAAGCCTCTGAAATAAAAAGCAAGTGGTCTGCTGGGACTGGCTTATTTCACTTAGCATAATTTTTCATGCTGCATCTGTGCTGTAGCAGGTATTGATGCCGGGTTTTTGCTCCTTAGTTCAGCTACATCTGTGTTCTTCTCTCATGACCAGGAAAAATTAAGCCTGCAGACACATTGAGGAGGGCAGAATTTATTATGTGAAAGCACAGCTCTCAGCAAAGAGAGGGGTCCTGCAAAGAGGTTTCCACCTCACAATTGAATACCAGGAGCACATGAGCTGAAGCGGCCAGGCTCCTCCTCTGCATAAGGTGTGAATTCCTGGTGACTCCACCCCATCCCCCCACTGCATGTGGGCCTCCAGTCTGCTGTGGGCATGTCCAGGCAAGACAAGTCCAGGTTCCCTTATCTGCACATAACATCAGGTGTAAACACTTGTGGGGCTCGTTGGAGATTCTCCGGGGACCCTTCCGTATCTGCCTAGGCATTTTGCTGTCTCCTCCTAATACGGTATCTGTACTTAATTTCTTCTTATTGCTGAGTAATATTCCATTGTATGGATACATCAAACATTTTATTTATCCATTCGCCAGGTGATGGACCTTTGGGTTCTCTCCCAGCCAAAGGTGACAGACGTTCTGGTTCTTTCCACCTTTTGACTACTATTAATAATGCTGTTGTAAACATTTATGTATGAGTTTTTGTGCTTGCGTATGTTTTTATTTTTCTGGAGTATATACTTATGACTGGAATTTGTGTGTCATATGGTAACTTCATGCTTAACCCTTTAAAGAGCTGCCAGTTTGTTTTCCAAAGTGGCTGCATCACTTTACATTCCCAGCAGCATTAGATAAGGGTTTTAATTTCTTTACATTTTTCCTGACACTCTTTTTTCTTGAACAAAGATTTTATCCTGTGGTGTGAAGTGATACCACATGTGGTTTTGATTTACATTTTCCTAATGACTAATTACATTAAGCATCTATTAATGTGCTTTTCCATCTTTATATCTTCTTTGCAGATATATCTATTCAAAATCTTTGCCCATTTTTTAAAATTGGCTTATCTTGTTATTTATTAATTGCAAGAGTTATTTATATTTCCTATATATGTAAGTCCCTTATCAGATACACACTTTTCAAATACTTTCTTCTACTTGGCGTCTTACCTTTTCATTTCTTCATGCTGTCTTCTGAGGCACAGCAGTTTTCAATTTTGAAGTCCATTGAATCCATTTTTCCTTTGGAGTCATAGCTAAGAAAACACTGGCAAATGCAGTCACAAAGATTTATGCCAGTGTTTTCTTCTGAGGGTTTTATAGTTTTAGCTTTTACAGTTAACTATTTTATTTTGAGTTAATTATTAAATAAGATATTTGGTCGAAATTTATTTATTTTTTGCTTATGGATACCCAGTTGTCCCAGCACCATTTGTTGAAAAGACTATTCTTTTCCCATTTTGTTCTTTTGTGAAGCTTGTATAAAATCAATTGACTGTAAAAGTGCAGGCTTATTTTTAGATTGTCAATTCTTAGCTTGTTTATGTCTATTCTTATGTCAAGGCCCAATCGAATTGAATGAGAAGTTTTTTTCAATCATGTTGCATATTACCAGTTGTCTTATGTCATAATAAAAATTAAATTTAGTGGAATGTCTGTAACTTCACCTTTTGTGTCACAAAGGAGTCTCTGGCCAGCTTATACCTTACTTCCTCTAAGACATGATCAGACGCCAGGCTTACAAGACACACTTAATTTCTTTTTTTCTCCATTCAAGCCTTTAGTCTCTTTTCCATTGCCTCCCACTATAGTTATATTTTCAGTAAGTTTTGGTTACAGGATCTGCTGACATAGTCTAATATTCAGTGCATTATGTTTTACTAACTCATTATAATTCATAGAACCTTCCATAGATGTCTACCATCTAGGAAGGAGAAGTTTAAGTCTGAGCCGCCAGCTTTCCTCAGTGGAAATCAAGTGAAGTCATCATCTTGCAGTTTACAGACCCTCTTTTCTCCTG
The DNA here is from genome assembly GCF_000001405.40 of Homo sapiens. NCBI lineage: Eukaryota > Metazoa > Chordata > Mammalia > Primates > Hominidae > Homo > Homo sapiens. The sequence continues at coordinate 54,945 of NT_187513.1, forward strand.
GTAGCTGGTTCTCTTGGGTAGCACTGTGGCTAATCCTTTTATTAGTGCAGATCTTGCATTCTCAGAAACCACAGTTCCCTATATTGACCTCCTTTTACTGAAACAGAGATGCACAGCTCTGCTTTCTAGCTCAGTAGAGGATTCTTGGAATAAAACGTTTAACTCATTCCAAGAAAAAGTCTTAGGAGTGCAGCACTTCAAAGTCAGGTAAGGTTCAGGCAATTTATCAGAGACACATAGTAGATTAGTATTTTGACTTTCAAAATTTCAGAGCCAAGTTGTGTGCTATAGAGAAGCATTGTGGCATAACATAGAGATGGGATGGTCTTAACTTCTCCATACAAACAAGCTTGGAGTAAGGTAAAGGAGAAATTGCATTTGTGTCTTAACACTCAAAACACACTATGCTTATTTTACTTCTGTGAAGAATAAAAATCATTCCATAATATTCTCCTTATTTCCTCATTTAGAAAAGAAAATGAAAATTGAATACTAGGTTGATTAATAAATACTCAAAACTTCTTCTTTTAGAATTTTAGTTAATTGAAATCAGGTAAATGTCTGATTTTGCCTATGTCACCCAGTATTTCTAGTTGTTTTTCAAATCATACATCTTCTTGCTTCCCAGTCTTACTTCCTAACTTGAGGGGAAATTGTAAGAAGACACCCTTGCCTTGTTATCAGCGTTCATTATTGAAGTTGTTTTAGGAAAATTCCTCCTCAGCAGCTTATGTCTCTCTCCTGGTTATCTACTGCTTCTCAATAATGTTTGACATCAATAAATAAATATCAACCTTTATTAGATCCTGCTTTAAAGGAGACTCTTTTCTGCTGCATAAGTTATGTTTCCTGTTGTCTCTTTTTAAAACTTATTTTCCTAACAATTACCCAGAGTCTTGTGGCTTGAAAGAAAAACATTTATTTTATTCATGAACCTGTGGTTTGGGAAAAACTTGGCCAGGACAGCTTGCTCTGCTCCCTTCAGCTTCCCTAGGAACAGCTGATCAGTTGCGGAAATGGAATCCTCTGAAGCTTTGGTCCCCCACTTGTTTGATGGTTGATGCTGGCCATCGGCTGTAAACTTGGTTGGGACAGGCAGCATGAACACTGACACAGGCACTTTCAGGCTCTCTTTGTGGCCTGATGGCTCTCACAATAGGGGCTGGGTTCCAAGGGAAAACAGTCTGAGATAGGGAAGCCACATGGTATCCCTTTCACTACATTCTACTCATTAGAAGGAAGTCAGTAAGGCTGGCCCATATTCTGTTTTTTAAATGGGATGAATGTAGCTTCTCTTTTGTTTTAATTGACACATATATACATAATTATGGGCTATAGAGTGATATTTTTATACACGTATATAGTGTGTAATGATCAAGCTAACTAGCACATTTACTACTTCAACCATTTTTCATTTCTTTGAATTGTGAACATTCAAAATTTTCTGGCTTTTTAAAAATATACAATAAGTCATAGTTAACCATATTCACCCTACAATGCCACAGAACACCAGAACTCACTCCTCTTATCTAACTGTAATTCTGTATCCATTAACCAGCCTCCCCTCCCCTACTTCTGTGAGCTTTTTTTTTGTTAAGAGACAGGGTCTTGCTAGTGTAGTCTGGGCTCTGGGCAACTGTAGTCACCCAGACTGGAGACAGTGGTTTGATCATAGTTCACTGCAGCTTCAAACTCTTGGGCCCATCAGATCCTCACACCTCAGCCTCCTGAGCAGCTGGCATTATGGGCATGCACCATTGCACATGTCTGATTTTTGACTTTGTAGAGATATCTCCCTATGTTGCCCAGGGAGCTCTGGAACTTTTGGCCTCAAATGATTCTCTTGCCTTGGTCTTACAAAGAGCTAGGAAATTACAGGCATCAGCCATATTGCCCAGCCTTTAATTTTCCTTTAGCTCCCACACATGAGTAAGAATGTGCAGTATTTATCTTTCTGTGTCTGCACTTAACATCCATCAGACTGATCCACATGGCCACGAATAACAGGATTTAATTCCTTTATATGGTGAATAGTATTCCACTGTGTTTGTGTGCCACAGTTTTTCATCCATTCATTTGGTGATGGACATGTATGTTGATTCCATACACAAGCTGTTGTGGATAGTGCTACAGTAAACATATGAGGACAGATATCCTTTTGATCTATTGTTTTCTTTTCTATTGCCTGAATACCCGGTAGTGGGGTTGCTGGATCCCTCGCCAGTCCCATTATTAGTTTTTTTGAGAAAACCTCCTGTTGTTCTCTATAGTGGCTGCACTAATTTACCTTCCCACCAACAGCATGTAAGAGTTTACTGTTCTCTGGAGCCTCACCAGCATTTGTTATTTTTTTTGTCTTTTCAATGACAGCAATTTATTCAAATTGAAGCAAGATTATATCACATTGTAGATTTGATTTGTATTTCCCTGAGGATTAGTGATACTGAGCATTTTAAAATTTATTTATTGGCTATTTGTATTTCTTTTTCTAAAAAAAAGTATAGTTAGATATTTTGCCCAGTTTTAAACTCAGATTTTTTTACTGTGATGTTGTTTGAGTTTTTTTGTATATTTTGTATATTAGTCCCTCATTAGGTGAATAGCTTGACAATATTTTCTCCTATTCTACAGGTTTTCTCTTCACTCAGTTGTTTGCTGGACAGAAGCTCTTTAGCTTAATGTAGTGTCTTTTGTCTATGATTTGTTGTTTGCCTATGCTTCTGATGTCTTACCCATAAAAATCTTTGTGCAGACTAATGTCCTCAAGCCTTTTCCTTATATTTACTTAGAGTAGTTTGATACATTTGGGCCTTACATTTCAGTCTTCAATCGATTCTGAGTTTATGTTGTTATATGGTGTTACATAGGAAGCTAATATCATTCTTCTCCATATGGATATTTAGTTTTCCCAGTGTCATTCATTTGAAGAGGCTGTCCTTTCCCCAGCGTACGTTCTTGGCATGTTCGTCCAAAATCAGTTGGCTGGAAATATGTGAATTTATTTCTGGGTGCCATATTCTATGGTCTTTACCCCAAGAATCATTACTTCTTAAAATGCAATTCAAATTAGCATGAAACATTTGCAGTTTAAGGAAAGGCTTATAGCATCAGAATCCTTAATCATAGATTTCATTATTTTGTGTTGTTTTTTGAGATAGGGTCTTTGTCTGTCATCCAGGCAGAAGTGCAGCGATAATAATTCACTGCAGCCCTGAACTCTGGGTACAAGCCATCCTTTTGCCTCAGTATCCCAACTAGCTGGGTCTACAGGCATGAGCCACCATGCCCGGGTAATTAAAAAAATTTTTTTTTTGTAGAGATGGGGGTCTCACTATGTTGCTCTGGCTGATCTCAAATTCCTGGCCTCAAGTGATCTTTCTGCCACAGCTTTTTAAAGTGCTAGGATTACAGGCATGAGCCACCATGCCTAATATAGAGTGTAATATCACTTTCAAAGTCTTATTCCTAGACCCATTTATTGACTTTGGCCTAAATAACTCAATATGATATCTCTGAAACTTTTTTTGACATACTGTGGGGAATGATAATGAAGGAAGGGGGTTAGACACTTTTTACTAGGAGATAACTTTGTGCCATTTAAGGAGGAACAAAAATGAATTATCAGAAAAATAAAAGTAAAATGAAGTACAAAAATTCTGTGGCAAAGATGATGATAGTAAAGAATATATTTTTATGACTCATGGTAGCTTTAACTTTGTTCTTAAAATTCTGAGTAATTTAAGGGTTCACATTTGAAGAATCTGCTGCATTACAGATAACATTTTATTGCAAGTAAATGCATTTCAAAATTTGCTATTGGTTTTGTATTAGATTATTCTCAGCCTACTTCATTATCAAGCTATACTATTTTATTCATGCAGTTTGATGATCTTATGGCGGAGAAGGAAGCTGTATCTTCAAAATGTGTCAATTTGGCTAAAGAGAATCAAGTTTTTCAACAGGAGTTATTATCTATGAAAAAAGTACAACAGGAATGTGAAAAACTTGAGGAGGATAAAAAGATGTTGGAAGAAGAAATATTAAATCTTAAGACACATATGGAAAACAGTATGGTAGAACTTAGTAAACTACAAGAATATAAATCAGAGCTAGATGAAAGGGCAATGCAGGCAGTAGAAAAATTAGAAGAAATCCATTTACAGGTGAGTTGTTTAAATCAGGTAAGTTTACTTGTAATGTGCTTTCATTTATTTCACTGCAAATTATATTTTGGAGATATATATATATATATATATATAGAGAGAGAGAGAGAGAGAGAGAGAGAGAGAGATTACCTCTCTTGTAGCAATCTGCTTTGTAGAGTTCTAGAAAAAAATGGTATCTGTTTTTTCTTTTAAATATTTAAATTTCCATTATTATTATAACAAAATCAATCTTTCAGAGTAATGATTCTCATTATGGAGTAATTTGATGATTAAGACCAGTTGGCATAGGAAAAAATTGTGATTTAGAAATTATGTGATAATTATGAATTGGTCTTAAGCTACAGTGTTCATTGATCACTTTTTAAAACTATGAATGGATTCTATTACTTTTTATATGACCAGATTACATTAATACTAGCATAATTATGATTTCAAATTTTTACAAATCAGACTTAATTCTGAATTCAGTTATTAGTTTTGATATTGCTGAAATATTTTAAACTTCATCCTCTTTTTTAACATATTCAAAAATACTCTTTGAATCGCTGACTCAAAATGAAAGGCAACAAACATAATAATTAGGTTATAATTGTTTTAAAAGTGTATTCTTTTCCTCTGTTTTAGGAACAAGCACAATATAAAAAACAATTAGAGCAGTTAAACAAGGATATAATACAGCTTCACTAAATAAGAAGGAACTCACACTTAAAGATGTGGAATGTAAATTCTACAAAATGAAAACTGCTTATGAAGAGGTTACAACTGAGTTAGAAGAATATAAGGAAGCCTTTACAGCAGCATTGAAAGCTAACAGTTCCATGTCAAAAAAATTAACTAAGTAAGTCAAAACATACACTCATAGAAAATGAATTAAGCTCATTAATTTGTTTCAAAAGCATAATTTTTAGTGAGATGGCTTCAGATTAGAAGGAAGTGAATGCTAATTTGACAATGTAATTTTGAAAAATAATGTTAGTAAATAATTTTACCTTTAAAATGTTAGTCAAAGATAGTTTTTGTCTCTCCTCTCATTTTTTTTTTTTTTGCTTTTGTATGGCTTTTTTTCCTGAAAAGTCTCATGTAATTAACCTGATCTGTTAGTTTTTTTCACTAAGTATTTTTGAAGCTTTATAATCAATGAAGTGACCTTGTTATAAAATTACTTGTCAGAATTTCCCTAAATAGAAATATTAATGTGTTTAATTTACTTTTCAGTGGATCACAACCTAAATGCAAAGTGGTACTTCTACTCTGGGCACAATTGTTTTTGATTGTGATCTTTAGTATTATCACCAGAGGGTGCCTCAAGAAAGACTATTTGTGTAACATATTCAAGATGTTACAGAAAGGCACCCTTGTGAAATAGGGAATAATTATCACAGGAATTTAAAGAAGTGTAATTCACAAAGCGGTTAAAAAATAACACCTTGTTCAGCCTGAAGCGGTGTGTGGAAGGCAGAAAGAACATGCCCCACCTCCAGGGCCTTGGTCACAGTGTTGGGGACTAATTGCCTTCAGAGATGCTTTAATTCTTTTTGATCACCAACCAGACAATCTAGTTCTCCCCTAGGAGTTGTTGCTCTGAATTATTCCTCAGTGCCAAATGTTTAATTGGTCCTAGATAATGGGTGAAATGTACAAGAGTGAAATCTAAAACTGGTTTACTAAACACAAGTGTTCCTAGATTTTTTTTCGTTCATTTTAGTTTTCTTAACGTACATTAAGGAGTACAACATGATGTTTTGATATAATTATTTCTAGTGAAGTGGTTCTTATAATCAAGCAAATCAACATATTCATTTTCCCACATTATTACCCTTTAAATACAAGTATTTCTAATGGAATCTTCAGAATCTTCCAAGTACAGCCATTTTAGAAGGCAGGAAGTTTTACCTGTTGAGCCATACATCACTGATAGCCATTTCTCTTCCCTGTCTACTTTGTTTGAACTGCTAGTTCAGTAGAAATCACCTTAGAAACAATGGTGCTTCTTTAGAATGATTTTAAAATTATAATTCCTTACAACAGGTATGCTCTTACACATCTTCTGTGTGAAAACACTATTTAGTGGGTAATGTGGTTTACTCTCAGGGTAAGTTTTTAAAAACTGCAAGTCATTAAGAATCATTTAAGGAAAAATGAAATATTAAGCATTTGTCTTTGCTACCTTTACAGATCGAATAAGAAAATAGCAATGATCAGTATCAGCTCTTTATGGAGAAAGAGCAGGTGAAATATTTTCTCAGCACTCTTCCTACAAGGCGAGGTCGAGAGTCACCTTGTGTTGAAAATCTTACTAGTATAGGACTCAACAGAAAATATATTCCCCAAATGCCCGTAAGAATTCCTACTTCAAACCTCAGACTTCAAATAACTGCCAGAACTACTTGACTGAGGTTAGTTATATGACCGTTTCTCTTTAGGGTTTCATTTCTCTAGCGTAATTCTTGTTTATAATTTGGTGAAATACTGAGTTGTTCTGTTGACTTTTGCATGTGAAGTAAAGATCATAATTAGCTGTGTTAACACAGAAAGGAAATGGGAACTTTACATTTTTTAATTCCCTGGAGCTCTCATTTTCAAGAGATATCCATTTGCTAACTTTATTCAAGAAATGTGACTAAACTGACATGTTTGAAATGTCTTTAAAACCTGCATTTAAGTTAGGTTTTAGAAATTGCATGTTATTGCCTGATAAGTGATGATATACTTTGAGATGGTCTGGCTTACTCTCTAATTGATTATAGTTTAGCTGTGGTTCATACCACATTTTTTTTTCTTTTTTTTTGAGGCAGTGTCTCACTCTGTCACCCAGGCTGGAGTGTCTTGGTGCCATCTCCACTCACTGCAACCTCCACCTCCCGGGTTCAAGTGATTCTCCTGCCTCAGCCTCCTGAGTAGCTGAGACTACAAGCACCCACCATTACACCCAGCTAATGTTTGCATTTTTAGTAGAGACAGGGTTTCACCATATTGACCAGGCTCTTCTTGAACTCCTGACCTTGTGATCTGCCTGCCTGAGCCTCTCAAAGTGCTGGGATTACAGGCATGAGCCACCGCACCCGGCCCATGCCACTTTTAAAGTTTCTTTGCACCAGCCAGGTGTGGTGGCTCATGCCTGTAATCCCAGCACTTTGGGAGGCTGAGGCAGGTGTATCACGAGGTCAGGAGTTCAAGACCAGCCTGGCCAAGATGGTGAAACCCCAACTCTACTAAAAGTACAAAAAAAAATATTAGCCTGGTGTGGTGGTGGGCACCTGTAATCCCAGCTACTAGGAAGGCTGAGGCAGAGAATTGCTTGAACCTGGGAGACGGAGGTTGCAGGAGCTGAGATTGCACCACTGCACTCCAGCCTGGGTGACAGGGCAAGACTCCATCTTGAAAATAAAAAAAAAATTAAAAAAGTTTATTTGCACCATCTCAATTCTTCCCACCCATAATCACAACTGAATGATTAGCATCCACTTTGCCACATATGGATGTTTATTATTTAGTAGAATCCAAAATAATTGCATTTTATGAATTAAACAAAACACTAAAATGTTCATTTCCCTTTTTATTTTAAAAGCTTTGTGCTTGGCCAGGCATGGTGGCTCACACTTGTAATCCCAAAATTTGGGGAGGCCGAGGCAGGTGAATCACCTGACGTCAGGAGTTTGAGACCAGCCTGGCCAACATGATGAAACCTGTCTCTAGTAAAAATACAAAAATTAGCAAGGCGTGTTGGCAGGCATGTGTAATCTCAGATACTCAGGAGGCTGAGGCAGGAGAATCACTTGAACCCAGGAGACAGAGGTTGCAGTAAGCCAAGATCATACCACTGCACTATAGCCTTGGTGATGGAGACTCTGTCTCAAAACAAAACAAAAAAAAGGTTTGTGCTTTCTTTACATAAGAGTACATCTTCTGACTATAAAAATCCTGGAAAAAACCTAGGAAATACTCTTCTGGATATCATATTTGTCAGTTAATTTATGGCTAAGTCCTCAAAAGCAATTGCAAGAATAACAAAAATTGACAAGTGTGATCTAATTTAGCTAAATAGCTTCTGCACAGCATGAGAAACTATCACGAGATTAAACAGAAAGCCTAAAAGAATGGAAGAAAATATTCACAAAGTATGGATATAGCAAACGCCTATTATCCAGAATCCATAAGAGACCTAAACAAATCAACAAGCAAAAAATAAATAAGACCATTATAAATGGGCAAAGGACATGAACAGACAGTTCTCAAAATAACACACGTAAGTGGCCAACAAACATTAAAAAATGCTTACCATTGCTAATCATCAGAAAAATGCCACACAAAACATCAATGAGATACCATTTCACACCAGTCACAATGACTTTTGTTAAAAACAAATAATAAATAAAAACTTAAAAAAGGATGTTGGGGAGGCTGTGGAGAAAAGGGAACACAAACCGTTTGTGGCAATGTAAATTAATTCAGCTACTATGGAGAGCAGTTTGGAAATTAAGAACTAAGAATGACTGTTGGATGCAGCAACCCCATTACTATACTAGGGGTATACCGAAAGGACAATAAATCATTGTAACAAAAAGATGTATACACATGTATGTTCATTGCAGCACTATTCACAATAGCAAAGACGTGGAGTCAATCCAGGTACATCCAAGGTAGATTGAAAATCCAAGGTAGATTGGAAAATTCCATATATACCATGGAATACTATGCAGCCATGAAAAGAACAAAATCACATCATTTGCAGCAACATGAATACAGCTGGAATCCACTCTCCTAAGCAAACCAACGCAGAAACAGAAACCAAATATCTCATGTTTTCACTCATGTGGGAGCTACATATTGGGTGCACATTGTCATAAAGGTGGGAATAATAGACACTGGGAAATAAGAATGGGGAGGGACAGAGTGGGCCAGGGTTGAAAAACTACTTCTTGGGTCCTATGCTCACAACCTGTGTGATGGGTTTAATTGTACTGCAAACCTCGGTATCCCTCAATATGCCTTTGGAAGAAACTTACAGAGGTACCACGTTAATTTAGAATACAAACTAGAAAAAAAAAAGAAAAGTTTACTATAAGTAGAGAACAGAAATTTCTTTTTAAGATAAAATTTATTGAAGTAAAAAATGGATTAAACTTTTATAAAGGGCAGAGTTTTCTAAGAATTTCAAAGCAATGCATTCATTGCAAAAGATGGCTTTAATTACTTAATCTTTTTTTTTTTTTTTTTGTGAGACAGGGTCTCACTCTCTCACCAGGCTGGAGTGCAGTGGTGCAGTCTTGGCTCACTGCAACCTCCACCTCCTGGCTTCAAGCAATTCTCCTGCCTTAGTATCCCAAGTAGCTGGGACTACAGGTGCACATCACCACGCCCAGCTAATTTTTGTATTTTTAGTAGAGATGGGGTTTCCCCATGTTGGCCAGGATGGTCACGATCTCCTGACCTTGTGATCTGCTTGCTTTGGCCTCCCCAAGTGCTGGGGTTACAGGTATCAGCCACCATGCCTGGCCATTGTTTAACCTTTGTACTAATAAAACACTACCTTTCTAAAATCATGTATATGCAATAGATCAATATTAACTGCATTTTTGTCAGATTACTCTAAACAGCATTACACATATACATCCTCTGTTATCTAAACTTAAAATAAGTAGAAATTTTATTTTATTTATGTGATTATTTTTCTATTTAAGCAAACTTCAAGTTATGTCTAGTCACTAAAAATACTAAAGGCCACATTTTGTAAGTGATACATGATTTTCATGATAATGTTTCTTGTTTAATTTAGACATTATTATTATTTTTACTTATTTTAGATGGGGCTGGACTGTGTAGAATAAATAATTAGAGAAACAAAGAGAAGTACGTTGACAAAATTTATTAATTAAATTTAGGTTTATTTTAGAAATAAAGTGTAAATAGCAAATGGCATTCCTTTTCATTCTTGGGTTAGTAGATACTACATCAATATTTTTTTCTTACACACATCTAATGAAAGATGTGAAAACAAAAACTTTCACAGAGAAGACTGTACTTATGCACCATAAATTCATCATGTTCCTAAGCTTAAACAGTTCCCAAGAAGTCTGTGCATCTCTTTTTCACTGGCTTTACAGTTTCTTAAGTTTTGCCATCCTCATGGAACTGTCAGCCAGCACACTGAAACGATTCTCAGAAAACAAAAGCATCATCAAGTTCTCAGGGTTTCGGTAGAGATTGAAGGCCAACAGACCTAAGACTCATTCAGAAATACTTAGCTGAGCAATAACCCTTCATAAGCAGTCACTTGACAGGTGACATTTTAAATCTCCTCTAATTTAATGTGTCATTGGCTTACACTTGTTCTCAGGAAAAGTTCCAAATTTTTCACCATGAAATAAAAACACCCATGTCAATGTAATTCTTGCCAAGTTACTCAGCCTTGTTTCTCACCACTTACTGCACTCTGCCCTTTGCTCTAGCACCAAACTGGATGGAGTGGAACTCTGCAGGGCTCTTCCTCACCTCAGGCTCTTTGCCTTTGCCTCTTTCCTCTATCTGGGAAGCTTTTCCTTGTCCTTCAGGTATCAACCTATGTTATCTCCTCCACCAGAAAGCCCATGATATTGACATAAAAGTGGGTAGATGTCCCTTCTCTGTGTTCCAGTAGTGCCCTGCTGTATACCTGTCACGGTATCTATGACTCTATATGGACATTGTCTGCCTGTCTGTTTTTTAGGTTATAGCTTATGACTGTTGAGAGGTGGACCATGCCATCTTCATCTTGTAATTCCAGTGCTGGTTCTAGTACCTTAGCATGTGGCTGTTGATTACATGAATGAAGACTGAAAAAGTTCTGATATTTAAACACAATTAGAATTAATGCCATGTGTAAATTATTAAATAGTAATTTTGTATTGTAAATGTACATACATATTTCTCATTCTTATTAACTCTGATAAAGTTCTCAAGTCTTTAGTTTTTAAACTCACACTTAGTTAACTGAAGTGTTTTAGGTAAAGAACAAAATTCTTTATTTTTCTTTCCAGCTGTTGCTGTATTGGACACTTGCTCCCATCTACTTTCTTCTCTAGAATCCACGGGTAAGCCACATCTAATGAAGAGAATATTTAACCATAAAGTCTTAAGGAAAAATTCTATGATGATTTAAAAGATTATAAAACTTTATTACTGGGCTATTTACACATTTTAATTGTTTCTCATAAAATATATAACATTCCAATATTTACTGAAGTAGGATATTTTTGTATCATATGTATGATTATAATTTATAGGGTATTTTAAATGATGTTTTTTGGCCTCCTTAAGTTTTAAGTGGATCTTGCAAATGAAAACCAGTATTATTGAGTTTGACATACTCAAATTGCCCAAATGTCAGCTGTTTAAACAACCAAGTCATCACTGATACTTTAGTAAAGGTTAGTAAAGGTCATCGAAGGCTTATTTGCATTTTACAGTTTTTATTACTTAGGAGAGTTAAGGAGTACCTGCCAGGTTTGTCCATGTTAATGTTACAATTTTCTTTTTGTAGTTCAACTGTATTTTGTATGGAGATACTTTGAGGCTCTGTAAATATCTGGTTACTCCTCAGAACCCACTAGATTTAGCATTTCATGGATGACTTGTGTTTGAACAATTATTACTATGATGGTTACCAGATGATTATTTTCTTATTCTCTTCTTTGTTCTACATGGAGAAATAAAACCAATAAATAAGGGAGAAGGAAAGCTCATGATTCTGATGCTCCAATTCCCCAAGATTAGGCCAGTAGTAGACATTCCAAGCTGACTTTATGTCTCTTTGATTTGTCTCCATTACTCTGTCGGCACTTTTTTACTTTCTGGCAGAAGATGTTCTAAGCTCAGCTTGTATTTTCTCTGCGCCAGCTCTGGAATGAGTCATTTTTTTTAGAAGCAGAGGTGGAGCCACTGAGGAAGCACAGGTGAGCCCTCCCCAGTGTGTACTCACTGGTCCCCAACAGAAGAACCACTGCCACATCCACTGAAGTACCAAGAAACTAGCAAAGGGCCTTCTGGCTGTCTGGGGAGAGTCCTCATGTGGTCCCTGGCTGTCTCAGAGGTTCTGGATTAGTCTTCCTGTAGCCTCTGTGTTCTGTCTTTAGATCGGGGCTCTGTGGGAAGGGCCCTGAGAGACCCAACAGCACAGCGTGCCTTATCTGCCAAATGTCCCTCCCTTCCTCACACCCTGACACTCAGGAATAGGGTAGATGGTGTGTCCAGGCAGTGTCAGGCCACCTCACTTTCTCCTTTGAGACGGGCCCAGAGGGCCTTTGGGGTGAGTGTGGAGCTGGGAACCTGGAGCCTGAGGCCAACTGTCTCTCCCTGTGTCTTGGAGGAAAGGCCACGTCCCAAAAAAAAACCCCAGGGCCTGACCTCTGGGCACACATGCAGGGAGGGAGGGTCTATGAGCTGAGGGGGACATTGTAATGAGACTTTGAACCCCGTTGCTCCGAGGCCTGGTCAGTGGACCATGGTCAGAGATGACCTGGTCATCAGGACCTGGTCATTTGGGACCTGATCAGCAGGGGCCTGGTTAGTGGCAGCCTCCTCAGTAAAGGCCTCATCAGTGGGGACCTGGTGACCTAGTCATTGGAAGCCTGGTCAGTGGGGGGACCTAGTCAGTGGTGGCTTTATTAGTGGGGCCTGATCTGTTGGAACATAAACAATGAAAAACTGGTTGGTGGGGCATACACAATATATCACGGGCCTGGTCAGTGTGGGGCCTTAGTGGCTTGGAGCCTGGTCAGTGAGGGCCTGGTCAGAGGGGGCTCAGTCAGCTGGGTACTCGTTCATGGAGAATTGTTCAGTGGGGGGTCGGTTGAGCAGCAACCTGGTAAATTGTGGTCTTGTCAGTGGGAACCCTGTCTTGTCAATGGGGACCAGGTCAGTGGAAAATTGGTCAGTGGGGTCTGGCCCATGAGGCCTATTAAGTGTGGGCCTGGTTAGGAAGACATGGTCAGTGGGGACTTGATCAGTGGGACCTGGTCAATGGAGGAGTGGTCATTAGGGGTCTCATCACTCATCACTGGGAACCTGGTCAGGGGCAGTTTGTCAGTACCTGGCCTGCTGGCCACTATGTGACCTCAGGCAGGGGGGTTGTCTGTGGAGCCTCCTTGCCTCCATCTGCAGGGAAAGTGAGTCGGGGCACCCTGGAGGGTGGCTGGAAAGAGAAGGTGAGAAGATGTGTTGAATCCAATACTGCTTGGCAGACCTAGAACTTTACAAATGACCTGTGTTCCACCTAGAGAGGGTGCCAGCCCTCTCAGCATTATGCAGTGCCCCTCCTCTGTCCGCATCCCCAGGACCACCATGGGTGGGGAGGGCAGAGATTGGGGAGCACCTATAGAGGCTCTAATGCTCTAAGGTGACAGTGATGAGGAACTGGGTGCACCCATGAGTGGAGAAGCTAGGCCTGTCCAGAGAAGCAAGACAAACACACACATACACACTCACACACACACAGGCACATATGCATACACAAATACATTGCATACACACATGTCAGTTCAGGGGATAGAGGACACTGACTCTGGGCCCTGTTGACCCAAGCAGACTCCCATGGTGGTGGGTTGTGTCACCCCACAATGTCACTGTTGCTGAGTCCCCATCGCCTCTGTGTTGTGGAGCAGTTAGAGACACACAGCAGTGTCTGTGAGTAGCTCTGCGTGAAGGACCATTTTCTAGATGAGAGGCACATCTCAACACAGCTCACTGATCAGATTCAGGTGAGTGGGACCTGCTCTTTTCTCTTCCTTCTGGCTTGGGAAAAGTCACTATCAGGTGGATGGTTTTGGTCTCTGGGCAGCTACTGAGGGTAATCCCTGAACACTCACCAGCTGCCTGTTATGTGCTGACAGTCATCTCATTCATCCTCGCAGCAATTCCATTCTGCATCTTTCCTGATCACCTCCGTGACAACACAGGACAACCCCATCAGGGCCCTGTCACCAGGCCCAGTCTAGCTCCATGATAACCAAGACACAGGCCCAGAGACAATCGTCCTACATTGTGCCTGCATCTGACACCCCTTGGTAGGTAGTGACCAGCACAACATGGAAGAAGCCAGGGCAGCATGCAGCCAGCTGCTCTGCAGCCCCAAATGGCTCCTGGGCCTTGGGAAGTCACTCATAAAGGGGAAGCTGGTCACTTTGAGGTCCCTGAAGGGAAGGGTGAACGTGCATCCCAACAGCCCTGGCAGCCAGCAGCATGCCATACATATTCTCACCCAACGTGTGTGACAGAGGTCCCCTCCTGGGGCACAAGTCCCATACCTAAAGCATTCTGTCCCAGTCGGACCTCATCCTGAGCCCTGGGAGGGGAGGGGGACCATGGGCCCCCCTGCAGCAGGCTCAGAACTGGGGTGTGTGCCGCCTTTGGGGCTCCAGTCCAAGCATCGGGGCTTCTACAGCACTGTGGGCTTCTCGGGTGCCAAGAGGCAGACCACAGGCCATCTTGAGGAGGACTCTGGTAAGAGCTTCCTTGTGTACGTGGATGATGTCCAGAATGTTGGTCTGGTGTCCCTGAGACAGCACTAACAGGTCCATGACTGGGTCCAGATCCTGCCTGGGCTGATGGGCAAAGAGCTCACTGACAGTGTGGAAGGCATCTATGGTGAAGTGGATCTATGTTCAAGTGCAGAAAGGGCCCAATCTTGTAGATGAACCACACAGCCAGCTTCTGGATGCAGGTGCAGTGCCACATTTTTTGTCACTTCCTGATGTGCCCCACCAGCACTGAAGAGATAGCCTGGAGACAGGGCAAGAGGAAGGCTGAGAAGGATGAGATGGTGAGTGCCAGATTCTTCCTGGCCCTGAGCCCACCCCCAGTGTGACACTCAACTTTTAGGAGTGGGAGAGCAAGATTGATGGCTTCAAGTGCTTCACCAAGAAGATGGACAACAGGGCACTCAGGTCAACTTCACAGCCAATGAGTGGTGGCAGGCTTTGAGAAAGAGCATCAGAAGCCTGACAGTTCTTCTTCAGCCTCAGCCAGGCCTTGGAGCTGGACCAGGCCATCCACTTCAGTATAGATGCCTTCCACTCTGTCAGTGAGCTCTTTGCCAGTCAGTCCAGGAAGGACCTGGACCCAGCCATGGACCTGTTAGTGCTGTCTCAGGGACACAAGACAAACATCCTGGACATCATTCACATACACAAGGAAGCTCTTACCAAAGTCACGGAGAACAGACAACATGTGGCAGAAGGGAAGACAGAGGTGCAGAGGCTGATGGAGTCATTATCACAGGAACAGGATTTCTTTGGCCACTTTGGCTGAAATTCACCACTTCCATCCAATTCACTCAAGTGAGAGACTTGAAATCACAGATGGAGCATTTCTTGCAACAAGAGATACTATTTTTTCAAAAAGTCACCTAAAATTTGATAGTGTTGAATGACTAGCTATTCGAGTGTGGACTTTTTCCAGTTCACGGGTACTTTCTACAGCAGAATGATAACAGTATCAAAGAGCTGGTGCCAGCTATCGGTGGTAGTACAAGGATGACTTTGTGCTCAACTGAAACCCAGCTGAATATAGAATTGTGTACGAAAGTGTTAATATGGTGATAGAATAGAAACAGTAGCAAATGAACTAAATCATACTATGAATGCCTACACTACCATTATAACTTTTTGAAGAATGATAATACCACTTACTTTATTGCCTTTTGAAGTAGGAATATTTTAGTGGATATCGTATAGATCTGAAACCCTATAAAGAATCCCAAAGAAGCTGGCTGGATAAAGCCTGCTATGGATGTCTTTATACTCAAAGACTGATGAGGCAATTCGAATATGTGTCCCTGTGTCCCCACCAAATCTCTTGTTGAATTATGCTTCCTAATGTTGGAGGTGGATCCTGGTATAAGGTGATTGAATCATGAAGGCAAATTTCTCATGAGTGGTTCAGCACCATCCCCTTGGTACTGTCCTCACAATCATGAGTGACTTCTCGTGAGATCTGGCCACTGAAAACTCTATATCACTCCCTACTCTCCGTGATTTCCTCTTGCCATGTGAGACAATTCACTCTTTCATTACCTTGCACAATGATTGAAAGATTTCTGAGGCCCCCCAGAAGCAGAAGCACTAAGCTTCCTGTCCACTCTGCAGAACCATGAGCCAATTAAACCTCTTTTTCAAGATAAATCTTACCAAAAATGGCAAATGAGGACTGGAGCACTGCTATAAAGATACCTAAAAATGTGAAAGCAACTTCGGAACTGGGTAATGGGTAGAGGTTGGAAGAGTTTGGAGGGCTCCAAAGAAGACAGGCAGATGAGAACATTTTTGGATCATCTTAGAGACTGGTTAAATGGCTGTGACAAGAATGCTGACAAAAACATGGACAGTGAAGGCCAGGCTGAGGGGGCCTCAGATAAAAATAAGAAGCTTTCTGGAAAATGTCTCTCTTTTGGATATGGAAAGCTTACACAATGCCTGTACCATCATTGTACCTTAGACGCAGTGAACTTGCTTTTTATTTCAGAGACTTGTAGGCAAAAGAGAATGTAGCCTTGACCCAGATGAGACTTTGCACTTTGTAACTTTGAGTTAATGCTGAAATGAGTTAAGACTTTAGGAGACTGCTGGCAAGGCATGACTGTATCTTGCAATGTGAGAAGGACATGAGATTTGTGGGGTCAGGGACAGAATAATACGGTTTTTCTCTATGCCCCTTCCAAAGCTCATGTGAAAGTACACTCCCTAATGTTAGAGTCGGGGCCTAGGTGGAAAAAGCTTTAATCATAAAGGAGTGGGAGTGGATCCTTCACAAATGGCAAAGCGCCAAGCCCTTAATGCCATCCTCCTGATAGTGAGTGAGTTCTCATGAGATCTAGTAGTTTAAAAGGCTGTGGAACCTCTTTCCTCTCTCTGTCTTGTTCCAACTTCTGCCATATGAAACATGT
Organism: Homo sapiens; assembly: GCF_000001405.40. Classification (NCBI taxonomy): domain Eukaryota; kingdom Metazoa; phylum Chordata; class Mammalia; order Primates; family Hominidae; genus Homo; species Homo sapiens. Next base: position 72,027 of record NT_187513.1, read on the forward strand.
CATTGCCGCTTGGATTTCCAGTGTGGTTAGGAGGGGCCTGATCAGTGTGGGCCTGGTCAGTGGACCTAGGTCAGTGAGGACTATTTAGTGGGATAGTGGTCAGCAGGGGTCTGCTTAGAGAGGGTCTCATTAGTGGGGTCTAGTAGTGGGGGTTTTGGTGAGTGGGGACCTATTGGCTGCCAGTTGTTTGGTGTCTGGTCAGTGCAAACCTGGGCTGTGGGGCTTGATCAGTGGAGACCTGGTCAGCTGGGGCTTAGTGCTGGCCTGGTCAGCATGGGCTGGGGCACTGGTGACCAGGTCAAGGGGTGCTATTCAGTGGAGGACTGGGCACATGAGACTTAGTCAGCAGACCCTGGTGGGCGTGTCCTCATCAGTGAGGCCCTTGTCAGTGGGGCCCTGGTCAGGGCAGCCTTGTCGGTGGGACCTAATCTGTATTGTCCTGGTCAGAGAGGACTTGGTCAGTGGTGACTTTTGTAGCACCGGTCTACAGGGTGACCTGGTCAGCGGGGATCTCAGCATTTGGTGCCGGTTCAGTGGGGTCTACTCACTAGGGTCCCAGTCAGGGGCATCTGGTGACATAAGGCCTCGTTATTAGGGGCCTGATCAGTGGCAACCTGTTCCCTGGAGGCCTGGTCAGTGGGGCCTCATCTTTGGGCCAGGGAATGAGTTCATGATCAGTGGAACCTGATCAGTGAGGCCTTGTCAATAATGACCTAGTCAGTGAGGACTTGTCAGTAAAGACTTGGTCCGTGAGGCCCTGTCAGTGAGTCCTTGTCAGTAAGGTCCTGGTCAGTGGAGTCCTTGTCATTGTGTGCCCGGCAGTGGGGGCCTTGTTACTGGGGCCTGATCATGAGAGTCTAATCAGTGAGGGTGTCATCAGGGAGGACCTGATGTGTGGGGTCTGGTCAGCAGGGACCTGGTCAATGTGGGCTGCTGAGCACTGCTTGGATAAGCCAGGTGCATTGTGCATTATTGAAGGCCCTGTGGACAGCTGGGATAGCCCAGTGATGCCCAAGGGCCTAGTCAAAAGTGGACAAAGCACGTATTTGGATGGACCTGGGAGATCCTGCTCAGAGATTCTGACAGGACAAAGGTAAAGGAAGGGCCAGAGTGGCTGGAGAGATGGTCACAGTCTATGGGCTGCACAGGATGGAGGAGGCCGGGGAACAGGCAGGGTGGGCAGTTGGGGTTCAGGGAGAGGCAGGTGCATGCTGGGAGGTCAGACCCTGTGAGGGCTTTGGGGGCGTCAGGTTGGGTAGGCTCAAGGCACTCTCACTCACATAGGATTCCAGACCACTGCTACAAGGCTCTGAGTGTTTGTCCCTCACATAAGATTCCAGAACACTGCTGCCATTGTCTGAATGTTTGTCCTCCACATAGGATTCCAGAAGTCTGCTGCTGGGGTCTGAATGTTTGTCCCCCATCTAGGATTCCAGAACACTGCTGCGAGGGTCTGAATGTATGTCCCTCACATATGATTCTAGAACATTGATGCTAGGGTCTGTATGTTTGCCCTTAACATATGATTTCAAAACACTGCTCCTGGATTCTGAATGTTTGTCCTTCTCATAGGAATACAGAACACTGCTGCTGGAGTCTGAATGTTTGTCACTCACATAGAATTCCAGAACACTGCTGCGAGGATCTGAATGTTTGACCCTCACATGGGATTCCAGAACACTGCTGCGAGGGTCTAAATGTCTGTCCCTCACATAGGTTTCCAGCACAATGTTACGAGGTTCTGAATGTTTGTCCCTAACATAGGATTCCAGAGCACTCCTGCTGTGCTCTGAATGCTTCTCCCTCACATAGGATTCCAGAACACTGCTATGAGGGTCTGAATGCTTATAACTCATATAGGATTCCAGAACACTCCTGCTGTGGTCTGAATGTTTGTTCCTCACATAGGATTCCAGAACACTCCTGCCGTGGTCTGAATGTTTGTCCCTCACATAGGATTCCAGAACATTCATGCTGGGGTCTCAATGTTTCCCTTAACATAGGATTTCAGAACACTGCTCTTGGGGTCTGAATGTTTGTCCCTCACATAGGATTACAGAACACTGCTGCTGGAGTCTGAATGTTTGTCAGTCACATAGAATTCCAGAACACTGCTACAAGGGTGTGAATATTTTTCCCTCACCTAGTATTCCAGAACACTGTTGCAAGGGTCTGCATGTTGGTCCGTCATATAGGATTCCAGAACACTGCTGCTGTGGTCTGAATGTTTGTCCCTCACATAAAATTCTGGAACACTGCTACAAGGGTCTGAATGTTTGTCCTTCACATACCATTCCAGAACACTGCTGCCGTGGTCTGAATGTATGTCCCTCACATAGGATTCCAGAACACTGCTACTAGGTTCTGAATGTTTTTCCCACACCTAGGATTCCAGAACACTTCTGCTGGTGTCTGAATGGTTGTCCCTCACATATGATTCCAGGACACTGCTATGAGAGTCTTAATGTTTGTCCTTCACATAGAATTCCAGAACACTGCTCCCGTGGTCTGAATGTTTGTCCCTCACATAGCATTCCAGAACACTGCTACAAGGGTTTGAAAGTTTGTCCCTCACATAGGATTCCACAACACTACTGCTGTGGTCTGAATGTTTGGCCCTCACATAGGATTCTAGAACACTCCAGCTGGCTTCTGAGTGTTTGTCCCTCACATAGGATTCCTGAAGACTGCTGCTGTCGCTATAGTCGTTGAGAGTGTCTGAATGTTTGACCTTCACCAAACACCAAATATCCTGGCCCTTTAGTCTTGTACTTTCCAGCCTCCAGATCTGTGAACAATAATCTCTGTTGTTTATGAATTACTCAGTCTGAAGTATTTTGTTATAGTAGCCTAAAGAGACTAAGAGAGCATCACCTGCCCTGTCACCTCATCACCGCATTACTGAAGCTATACTAACAACAGTCACTTTTAGTGGGTACTTCATGCATCAGAATAAAGGGAAAAAATTGCAAGGCATACTAAAATCCAAAAAAAGAAAAAAATACAATTTGTGTCAACAGAGCAAGCTTCAGAAGCAGACAAAGATATGATCTTGGAATTTTTTTTTAAACCTCTGGAGAATATGCTAAGGGCCTAATGAATGAAGTAGACAGTATTCAAGTGTAGATGGGTAATGTAATGAGAAAGACAGACATCGTAAGAACTTTCAACATAATGTAGTGATGAAAAACGTGGTAAATAACTGAAGAATACCTCTGATGGCTTATTAGTAGACTGGACTCAGCTGAGTAAAAATCTCTGAGCTTGAGGATTTATCATCAGAAACTTCGAAAACTAAAGAAAAGAAACACTGAAAAGAACAGAAGATGATATTCAAGACTGTGGGACAACTACAAAAGGTGAAACAGTAATGAGAATACCAAGAGGAGAAGAAATAGAAGAAAGTTCTGCAACAACCATGTCTGAGAACTTCCAGTATTAATGTCAGACACCAAACCAAAGATCCAGGAAGCTCTGAGAACACCAGGCAGAATAAATACCAACAACCTACACTTGGACATATAATTTTCAAACTATATGAAATAAAAGATAAAGGAAAACTCTGAAAGAAACCAGAGGTGGGGCAGAAAACACCTTACCTACAGAGACACAAAGATAAGAACTGCATTCAACATTTCAGAAACTGTGAAAGTAAGAAGACAGTGAAATGAAAAATTCAAAATGTTGACAGAAAAAACCCACCAACCTAAGTTTCTGTACCCACTGAAACCACCCTTCAAAAGTGAAGGAGAATTAAGGCCTTCCTCAGAAAAATAAAAATTCAAGAAACTTGTTGCCAGGAGACCTGTCTTGCAAGAAATGTTAAATGAAATTCTTTAGGGAAACAAAAGATATATAACTGAAACCTGGATCAACATTTTTTTAAAAAGAACATTAAAGAAAGAATTGTGGTACAATAAAAACCTATGTATTTATTCTTAATTGATCTAACCAAGAAGATCATAGACAATAACAAATACAGATATATTATGTATGCTTATATACAATTGAAATGAGTAACACTAATACAAGGAATGGAATGGAAGGATGGTAGGGAGGCATTGTGGTACAATAAAAACATGTATTTATTCATAGTTGATCTGACCAATAAGTTTGTAGATAATAATAAATACACACAGATAGATTATGCATGCTTATACACAAGTGAAATAAGGAACAATAATACAAGGAATGGAATGGAAGGATGGGAGGGAGGAATCAGGTGTTTTCTTTGTTAAGCAGGTAGTCACCCGTGAAGTGGGATAGTGTTATCTGAAAGTGGACTTGAATTGGTTGTAAATGTATATTGAGGAATTAGGTGTGTTCTTTGTTAAGCAGGTAGTCTTATTTGTGGGATAGTGGGATAGTGTTATTTGAAAGTGGACTTGAATTGGTTGTAAATGTTACTGAGGAATTAGGTGTTTTGTTTGTTAAGCAGGTAGTCTTATTTGTGGGATAGTTGGATAGTGTTATTTGAAAGTGGACTTGAATTGGTTGTAAATGTATATTGCAAATTCTGTGGCAACTAGTTAAAAAAAAGTTTTAAAAAGAGAAGTATGTACTAAGAAAGACAGGGAAAATGGAGTCATCTAAAATCATCAATGAAAACTGCAAAAGGCAGAAAAAGAGTGGTAGACAAAAGAATGAAGACTGAGGAGAATGAATAGAAAACAGTAACAAATATAGTAGATATTAATCCAATGATATCAATAATCACTTTGAATGTTAATGGTATGAATGTACCAATTCAAAGGTAGAGATTGTCAGAGTCTATCAAAAGACAGACACATCTTGTTTCACTGCACTTTGCTTTATTGTGTTTTGTGACCATGTGTTTTACGTATTGAAGGTTTGTGGCCACCCTGCAATAAGCAGGTCTCACTGGCACCATTGTTCCTACAGCACGTGCTCACTTCACGTCTCTGTGTCACATTTCGGTCATTCTCACAGTATTTTAAGATTTTTATTATTGAATCTGTTGTGGTGATCTGTAATCAGTAATCTTTAATGCTACTGTTGTCATTGTTTTGGGAACCACAAATCACACCAGGATAAGACAGCAAACAATTGACAAATGCGTTTGTTCTGACTGCCCAACCAACGGGCCATTTCTCTTTCTCTTTTTCTCAGGCTTCTTTTTATTAATATTAAAATGTGGCCAATTAATAACCCTACAATAGCCTCTATATGTTCATGAAAGAAGAGTTGCATGTCTGTCACTTTAAACCAAAAGGAAGAAATAATTAAGCTTAGTGAGGAAGGCATGCTGTAAGCAAGACAGGCCAGTAGCTAGACCTCATGCAACAAACACTTAGCCAAGTTGTGAATGCAAACGAAGTGTTCTGGAAAGAAATTTAAAGTACTGCTCCAGTGAACACATGAATGATAAAAAGCTAAACAATCTTGCTGCTGTTATGAAGAAAGTTTAATTGGTCTAGATAGAAGATGAAAAAAAAACAAAAAACATTCCATTAAGCCTAAGCCTAACTCTCTTTTTACTTTTTTTTCTTTTTTTTGAGACAGAGTTTCATTCTTCTTGCCCAAGCTGGAGTGCAATGGCGTGATCTTGGCTCATCGCAACCTCTGCCTCCCAAGTTCAAGCCATTCTCCTGCCTCAGCATCCCAAGTAGCTGGGATTACAGGCAAGCACCACCACACCTGGCTATTTTTTTGTATTTTTAGTAGAGACGGGGTTTCTCCACATTGGTCAGACTGGTGTCGAACTCCCGACCTCAGGTGATCTGCCCGCCTCGGCCTCCCAAAGTGCTAGGATTACAGGTGTGACAGCCACCGCACCCGGCCTCTCTTCAATTCTATGAAGACTTAGAGTGGTGAGGCAGCTGCAGAAGGAAAGTCTGAAGCTAGAAGAGCTTGTTTCTTGAGGTTTAAGGAAAAAAGTCATCTCCATAACATAAAAGCGCAAGATAAAGCAGCAAGTACTGATGGAAAAGCTGCAGAAAGCTATCTAGAAGATAACTGATTAAGATGGCAACACTAAATAGATTTGCAATGGAGACAAAACAGCCTTCTACTAGAAGGAGATGCCATCTAGGATGTTCCCAGCTAGAGAGGAGTTGATGCCTGGCTTTAAGGCTTCAAAGGACATGCTGACTCTTTTGTTAAAGGCTAATGCAGTTGGTGATGTTAACTTGAAACCAATGATGATTTACTATTCTGAAAATCCAAGGGCCCTGAAGAATTATGATAAAACACAGCTCTGTCTGTACTCTACAAATGGGAACAAAGCCTGGATGACAGACTATCGGCTTACAAATATGGTTTACTGAATATCTGAAGCCCACTGTTGACACCTACTGCTCAAGAAATAAGATTCCTTTCAAAGTATTACCGCTCACTGACAATGCCCCTGGTACTCAAGGGCTTTTACAGAGATGTACAAAGAGCTGAATATTGTTTTCATGCCTACTAACCCAACATTCATTCTGGTGCCCTTGGATCAAAGAATAATTTCAACTTTCAAGTCTTATCACTTAAAAATATATTTCATAAAGCTATAACTTCTCTAGAAAGTGATTCCTTTGATGGATCTGGGCAAAATAATTGAAAACCTACTGGAAAGGATTCACCATTCTAGATGTCATTGAGAACATTCATGATTTAAAAAATAAGATCAAAATAGCAACATTAGGAGAAGTTGGGGCCGGGCGTGGTGGCTCACACTTGTAATCCCAGCATGTTGGCAGGCCAAGGCACGTGGGTCACGAGGTCAGGAATTTGAGACCAGCCTGGCCAACATAGTGAAATCCTGTCTGTACTAAAAACACACAAAAAATTAGCTGGGCCTGGTCGGGGGTGACTGTAATCCCAAACACTTGGGAGGCTGAGGCAGAATTGCTTGAACCTGGGAGGTGGAGGTTGCAGTGAGCTGGGATCGCATCACTGCACTCCAGCCCAGGCAAGACTTCATCTCAAAAAAAAAAAAAGAGAGAGAGAGAGAGAGAAGTTGGGAAGATTATTCCAACCCTCACAGATGACACAGGGGTTCACGACTTCTGTGGAGGAGGTAACTGCAGATATGGTGGAAATAACAAGAGCACTAGAATCAGAGACAGAGCCTGAAGATCTGGCGAGACTGCAGCAGCCTCCGGAGAAAACGTGAGTGGATGAGTTGCTTCCAAGGATGAGCAAAGAAAGTGGTTTCTTGAGATGAAATCTACTCGTGGTGAAGACAGTGTAAACAATGTTGAGATGACAACAGATTTAGAATAAACTTAGTTGGTACAGCAGAAGGAGGGCTTGACAGGATTGACACAATGATTTACAATAATACATAAACTTAGTTGGTACAGCTGTACGAAGGTTTGACAGGATTGAATCCAATTTGAAAGTTCTACTGTGGGTAAAAAGCTATCAAACAACATCGTATGCTACAGATAATTCTTTTGTGAAAGGGAGTCAATTGACACAGCAAACTTCAATGGTGTCTTATTTTAAGAAATTGCCACAGCCACCCCAACGCTCAGCAACCACCACCTTACATTAAGGCAAGACCCTCCATCAGCAAGAAGACTGAAACTTGGCCAGGTGCAGTGGCTCACACCTGTCATCCCAACACCTTGGGAGGCCAAGGTGGGTAGATTGCTTGAGCCCAGGAAGTCAAGGCAACATGGCAAAACCCCATCTCTACAAAAAAAAAAATACAAAAATTAGCTGGTCATGGTGGCATGTATCTGTAGTTCCAGCTAGTCAGGAGTCTGAGGTGGGGGTTTGATTGAGCATGAGGTTGAGACTGCAATTACTCTAGCCTGAGCCACAGAGTAAAACCCTGTCACGCACACAAAAAAAGATTGCAGCTTTCTGAAGGCTCAGATGACTGTTAGCACTTGTTAACAATAAAGTATTTGTAAATTAAAGTGTGAACACTTTGTAGACATATGCTATTGCACACTTTATACAGCACAGTATAAACATACTTTTACATGCACTGGAAAACCAAAAGAAATTGTATAACTCACTTTATTGCAGTGGTCTGGAACCAAACCCACATATATCTCTGATGCATGGCCGTCCTGTATTGTACACTTAAAATAAAACTTAAGAGGGTATCTTTTAGGTGAAATGGTCATCTCATTTTTTTTTTTGAGACGGAGTCTCACTCTGTTGCCCAGGCTGGAGTGCAGTGGCACGATCTCAGCTCACTGCAAGCTCTGCCTCCCGAGTTCATACCACTATCCTGCCTCAGTCTCCCAAGTAGCTGGGACTACAGGTGCCCGCCATCACGCCCAGCTAATTTTCTGTATTTTTAGTAGAAACGGGGTTTCACTGTGTTAGCCAGGATGGTCTTGATCTCCTGACCTCGTGATCCACCCGCCTCGGCCTCGCAAAATGCTGGGATTACAGGCGTGAGCCACCACTCCCGGTCTCATTTTTTAAAAAGGGTCAGAATGAGAAATATATGGGGAGTGATGGTCAAGTTTACGGCATTATTTGTTGTGATGAGTCCTGGGGCGAATACTTATCTCTAAACTCATTAAGATGTATATATTCGGTGTCACACACCTGTAATCCCAGCACTTTGGGAGACCAAGGCAGGTGGATCATCTGAGGTCAGGAGTTCGAGACCAGCCTGGCCAACATGGTGAAACCCTGTCTGTACTAAAAAAATACAAAAATTAGCCGGGTGTCGGGGCGCACGCCTGCGATCCCAGCTACTCAGGAGGCTGAGGCAGGAGAATTGCTTGAACCCGGGAGGTGGAGGTTGCAGCTAGCTGAGATCGTGTCACTGCACTCCAGCCTGGGCAACAAGAGTAAAACCTCCGTAACACACACACACACACACACACACACACACACACACACAAAGGTATATATTAAATATGTGTAATTTTTGTATGTCAACCACACCTTAGTTTTATTTTATTTTATTTTATTTGAGACAGAGTCTCGCTCTGTCACCCAGGCTGGAGTCCAGTGGTGCAATCTCAGCTCACTGCAAGCTCCACCTCCCAGGTTCACACCATTCTCCTGCCTCAACTTCCGGAGTAGCTGGAACTACAGGCACCCGCCACCACGTCCGGCTAATTTTTTGTATTTTTAGTAGAGATGGCATTTCACCGTGTTAGCCCGGATGGTCTCGATCTCCTGACGTGATCTGCCTGCCTCAGCTTCCCAAAATGCTGCGATTACAGGTGTGAGCCACCGTGCCCAGACAATTTTTTTTTGAGTCAGAGTCTCACTCTGTCACCAAGGCTGGAGTGCAGTGGCACTATCTTGGCTCACTGCAACCTCTGCCTCCCATGTTCAAGCAATTCTGCTGCCTCAGTCTCCTGAGTAGCTGGGACTACAGATGCATGCTATCACGCCTGGCTAATTTTTTGATTTTTAATAGAGATGAGGTTTCACCATGTTGGCCAGGCTGGTCTCAAACTCCTGACCTCATGTGATCTGCCCACCTCAGCCTCCCAAAGTGCTGGGATTACAGGTGTAAGCCACTGCACCCGGCAATTTTTAAATATATATAATTAAAAATTAATTAAAAAAGGTATTTGCAAGTTTCCGTTTTGTTATATACTTATTATTCTTTATCTTTATGTCAGGTTGCTGTGTCAATACACTTAGGAGATCATAGTTTCTAAATTGAAATACAAATAAATATGTCTCAAATTTTTTCTTTTTTCTTTTTTTTTTTGAGATGGACTCATTCTGTCACCCAGGCTGGAGTGCAGTGGTGCAATCTCAGCTCACTGCAACCTCCGCCTCCCAGATTCAAGTGATTCTCCTGCCTCAGCCTCCAGAGTAGCTGGGATTACAGGCACCCGCCATGACACTCAGCTAGCTTTTATATATTTTTTTTCTATTTTTAGTAAAGACAGGGTTTCACCATGTTGGCCAGGCTGGTCTCCAACTCCTGACCTCAGATGATCCTCCCACCTCGGCCTCCTCAAGTGCTGGGACTACAGGTGTGAGCCACTGTGCCTGGCATGGAATTTTTTTCTAAAATTTACATTTCTGAGTTAAGAATGCTTAAAATATTATAAAAACAGAAGCACAATTCATTATGTGTTTCATTAATTACCTCTATTGAAAACAACACAATTATATTACAATAGGACAAAAAAAAATGTTTAAGCAAATGAAAACAAAACCATGACATACCCAAACTCAGGAGGAGGCAACAAAGGCAGTGCTAAAGGGAAGCTTACAGCCGCAGATGCTTAAATTAAAAAGAAGAAAGATCTCAAAGCCATGCTAAAGGGAAGCTTATAGCTGCAGGTGATCAAATTAAAAAGAAGAAAGATCTCAAATCAATAACCTAACATTACACCTAAAGGGAAAAAAAAAAAAAAACTAATGACAAACCAAGCAAAAGGAAGAAAATAACAGATTAGAACAGAGATAAGCAGAATAAGACCAGAAAAAAAGGAAAAAAAAAACCACTGAGTTTGTTTTTTTAAAGATCAATAAAAATTTTAAAACTCACAGCTATATTAAGAAAAAAAGAGAAATCTCAAATACTAAAATCATAAATAAAAGAAGTGACAGTACAACAGATTCCACAGAAATGAAAAAGATTACAAGAGACTAATGTAAGCAACCATATGCCACAGAACTGGGCAACCTAGAAAAATTTATAAATTCCTAGAAACACAAACCACCATACTGCATCATGGAGAAATAAAAAATCCAAAGAGACCTGTAACTAGTAAGAAGATTCAACCAGTAATCAAAAACCCCCCAAAAAAGAAAATTCCAGGTCCAGATAACTTCACTGGAAAATTTTACCAAACATTTCAAGAAGAATTAATGCCAGCCCTTTGCAAAATATTCCAAAAATGTTCAAAAACCAGAAGGGGACATTCCAATCCATTCTATCAGGTCAACATTTATCTGGTTCCAGAGCCAGATGAACACCTTTTGTAATAAAAACACTCAAAGAATTAGTAATATATGGAAACTCCTCAGTAAATAAAGATTGTACATGAAAAGCTCACAGCTAACATCATACTGAATGGTGAAAAACTAAAATCTTTTCCTCTAGGATCAGGAATAAGATAGCAACATCTTTTCCTGCCACTTCTATTCACCACAGTACTGGAATTTCTACTCAGAATAATTAGGCAAGAGAAAGTAATAAAAAGCATGCAAATTGGAAAGGAAAAAGTACAAAATTTTGTTCACAGACAACATGATGTAATGTGTAAAAATCCTGAAATTCCACAAAATACTGGTAGAATAATGAAATTCAACAAAGTTTCAGGATACAGTAACACACACAAGTCAGTTCCATTTCTATAAACTAACAATGAACAATCTGCAAATAAAATTTTAAAAAGAGGCCAGGTGCAGTGGCTCACAGTTGTAATCCCAGCACTTTGGAAGGCCAAGGCGGGTGGACCACCTGAGGTCAGGAGTTCGTGACCAGCTGGGTCAACCCCATCTCTAATATAAATAGTAAAACTCTATCGCTATTAAAAATACAAAAATTAGCTGGGCATAGTGGCAGACACCTGTAGTCCCAGCTACTTGGGAGGCTGAGGCAGGAGAATTGCTTGAACTTGGAAGGTGGAGGTTGCAGTCAGCTGAGACTGTGCCACTGTGCTCCAGCTTAGGAAACAGAGTGAGACACCGTCTCAAAAAAAAAGAAAGAAAGGAAAGAAAGAGAGAGAAAGAAAAGAAAAGAAAGAGAAAACAAAAGAAAAGAAATTTTTAAAAAGAATGACATTTGGCTGGGTGCAGTGGTTCATGCCTGCAATCCCAGCAGTTTGGGAGGCCGAGGTGGGCAGATCACCTGAGGTCACAAGTTCAAGAATAGCCTGGTCAACATGGAGAAACACTGTCTCTACTAAAAATACCAAAAAGTTAGCTGGGCATGGTGGCGCGCACCTGTGATCCCAGGTACTTGAGAGGCTGAGGTTGGAGAATCGCTTGAATAAGGAAGGTGCAGGTTGCAGTGACCTGAGATAGTGCCACTGCACTCCAGCCTGGGAGACAGAGCAAGACTCCATCTCAAAAAAAAAAAAATTATATTTACAACAGCATTATAAAAATTAGAAATAAGCTTAACCAAGAGGGCAAAAGATTTGAACACAGAAAACTACAAAACACTGTTAAAAGAAATTAAACACAAATAAATGAAAAGAAAAGCTGGGTTTGCAAATTAGATGATTTCATCTTGAAATGATGTCAACACTACTCGAAGTGACCTAGATTCAATACAATCCTTATAAAGATTCCAATGACATTTTTGATAAACAGAAAAACCTATCCTAAAACTCATATGGAATCTCCAGGGCCCATGAATAGGCAAATCAATCTTGAAACAGAACAAAATTAAAGGTCTCAAAGCAATTACAAAACTGCAATAAGCCAAAAAAAAAATGTGGTCATGGCATAAAGACACTCTTGACACACTTATGGACCAACACAACAGAGACCTCAGAAACCAACCCTGGCATATATGGTCCGATGATCTTCCAGAAGGATGCCAAGACCACTCAATGGAAAAGCACAGTTTCTTCAACAAGTGGTGATGGGAAAATTGTATAACTACATGCAAAACAATGAAGTTGGACTCTTACCTTACACCACGTTAAAATCAATTCAAAGTGAATTATAAACCTAAATGTAAAACTAGAACTATCAAACTCCTAGGGAAAACAAATTTGGAAAATGCTTTATGACGATGAATTTGTCAATAATTTTTAGGATATGACATTAAAAGCTCAGGCAGTAAAAGCAAAAATATATCAAACCTAAAAACTTCTGTACCTCAAAGGTCACAACCAACAGGGTAAAAGGCAAACTGTAAAATAAAAAAAAATACCAGTTGAGTGTCCCTTATTTGAAATGCTTGGGATGTGTTTCAGATTTTGTAATATTTGCATTATTCTTACTGGTTGAGCATCTCGAATTCAAACACCTGAGTCTGAGATGCTCCAATAAGCATTTCCTTTGAGTGTCATGTTGGCACTCAAAAAGTTTCAGACTTTGGAGCATTTGGGATTTCAGATTTTTGGATCAGAGACATTCAACCTATAGTTGCACATCATGTATCTCATAAGAAGTGAACATTCAGAATGCGTAAAGAACTCCTACAGAGAGACTACCAGAAGCAGAGAGGAGCAAACACATTTTCACACTAGGGAACCTGCTATCTCTCCTGGATTCCAATTAGGGCAGAGTAAGTGCTTGTTCTCTGCCAATCCAGGATTAGGCCCTGCAGCTGCAGTGAAAATAATCACAGAAGAAAACTAAGAAATAAAAAATGGAGAAAGTGAGACATCAAACTAGAATTACTAGAAACCCCCAGGAAGAAGGAAAAAAAATCCAAGAAAACAGAAAAACAATCAAACCAGTTAATTAAACCTTGGTGTGACCAGAAGATCAGGGTTTCCTAAAGGAGTGGAAATTTATTGACTTGAAGGCGATTTATTGATTACTGATTTGAAGAGGAAGAAAACCATGAATGGTCTAAAGCAAAAGCCTAGTGTCTGAAGAAGTCAGTAGGGTGAAAACAAGAGCTGGCCAGAATGTCCACAGATGGTGACAAGTTTGCAAAGCCTTTACTAGACTACTTGTGAAGCTAACTAGAGGCCAAGGAGCCAACACTGCCCCTGTCCTTACAGAGAGACCCTACACAGGATTCCCAGATATACATGGAAGGACAACATCTTATCAGGTCCTCTCTGTTCAGATGTGGTTATCATTCCAAATAATGAGCTCCAGCCCCAAGACTGTTCCATCCTCAATTGCTTTGAGTGGGCAATGTAGGCTCTCCACACACGAGCTACATGTAGGTTCCTTGGGTACCCAGATGGGAGCCGTGAAACATAAACCCTCCATGGTCAGGTCAGTATCTGTTTCCTGCCTTTTTCCCAGCAATCCCCAGGCCTCAGCAGCAGTGGTCTACCTCTGCTGATTCTCATTCAGAATCTAAACTTAGAAACAATTAGAACCTAGACCCGAATTCTACCTGAAAGTAACAGAATAACATAATCTATACCCTGCAGCATGACTGTTTGCCCAACGTAATGAGGATGAACTGAGAGATAATGAATGATCATGACCCTGGCCCAAGTAACAAGAATGAACTGTGAGATAAATGAATGCTCATGACCAAAAAACCCAGCTACAACACAACAAAATAAAGTGATTAAAAAATGGACAAAGAACATTCATCCAAAGATGCAAAGATGATATACAAATAGCCAACAGATACATGAGATATATGAGAAGATGTGTAACTTCACTAATCATTAGAGAAATGCAAATAGAAACCACAATGGGACATCACTTCAAACCCAACAGAAAGTAACAAGTGCAGGTGAAACTGAAACACTTGAACACTGTTGGTGGAAATATTAACTGGCTCCTCAAAAAAATAAAATAAAATGACCATATGATCCAGCCATCCAACTTCTACAGAGACAGAATAACTAGTAGCAGGACCTCAAACAGATATGTGCACACCTGTGTTCACAGGAGCATTACATAGCCACGAGGTGGAAGAAACCAAAACGTCCATCCAGGAATAGATGGATAAACAAAAGAATATACATATATATATATAGAGAGAGAAAATATATATATATGAAGAAATATTATTCAGCCATAGAAAGGAAGAAAATCCTGACACATCTGCACATAACATGGAACCTACTTAAAAAACAAATATTATATAACCCTAGGTATATAAGCCAAATTTTTAGAAACACAAAGTAGAATAGTACTTGCCAGGAGGTGGAAGGAAGGGGAAATTAATAGTTGTTGAATGGGTATAGAGTTTTCTAAGATAAAAAAAAATCTAGAAATCTGCTACACAACAATGTAAATATTCTTAACTCTACAAAACTGTATACTTACAACTGGTTATGATGGTAAATTTTAAGGTATGTGTTTGTTACCAAAATTCGAAATTATAAATTATTTATAAAAAATGATCTTTTTTGACACACAGTCTTACTCTGTTGCCCTGGCAGGAGTGGAATGGCATGATCACAGCTCATTGCAGCCTCAACCTCCCAGGCTCAAGCAACCCTCCCACCTCAGCCTCCCAAATAGTTAGGACTACAGGTGCACACCAAGATGTCAGGCTAAATTTTGGTTTGGTTTTTTGTAGAGAGGGTTTTGCCATGTTGCCCAGGCTGGTCTCAAACTCCTGGGTTCAAGCAATCCACCTCCCTTGGACTCCCACAGAGCTGAGATTATGAGCATAAGCCAACATGCCCAGCCTATAAAAAATTATTTCCAAAAGCCAAAAGATTAATCAAACTGGAATATTTAGAAATATTTAACCCAAAAGAAGTTAGGAAAGAATATATAGAAGATCAAAAGACAGACGAAGGCCAGGCATGGTGGCTCATGCCTGTAATCTGAACACTTTGGGAGGCCAAGGTGGGTAGATTGCTTGAGCTCAGTAGTTCAAGACCAGCCTGTGCAACATGGCAAAACCCTATCTCTACAAAAATATAAAAATTAGCCAGGTGTGGTGCCATGCACCTGTAGTCCCAGCTACTCAGGGGGCTCAAGTGAGGATTGGTTGGGCCTGGGAGGCAGAGGTTGCAGTGAGCCAAGATTGCACCATTGCACTACAGTCTGGGTGACAGAACAAGACCCTGTCTTAAAAAAAATAAACAAACAAATAGAAAATAAGTAGAAAAATGGCAGACCTAAATCCAACCTTAGCAATGATTAGTTACAATGTAAGTGGACAAATACTCTACTTAAGACAGAGACTGCCAGACCTGAGAGGAAGGCAAGACCCAACAATATGGCATCCACAGAGACACAATTTAAACACAAAGACACAAAGTATGAGAAAAAATATGCTATGCAGATTAAACATAAAAATATGCTATCCAGACACTAATCATAAAAAGCTTCAACAGAGATGTTAACACTAGATGAAAGAGGCTTCAGAACAAAATATATCACCAGAAATAAACAGGGTAATTTAATAAAAATAAAAGAATCAGAGAGGATGATGTTACAATTATAAATTGTGCCTCAAAGTGCACACAAACTACACACACACACACAGAGCCTCAAAGTATGTGAATCAAAAACAACAGAACAAAAGCAGGAAATTGACAATCCAAAATTATAGCTGGTGAATTAATACTGCTCTCTCAGTAACTGACGGAACAACCAGATAAAAATATAGGAAAAATACGGATCTAAATGACAAAATCCTGACCCAAATGGTACTTGGCAGTGCCAAGATAGACTGTATGTCGATGGATTGAGAAAAGGTTCAAGCCTGAAATAGTATACAAAGGATGTTGTCTGAACACTTGAAATTAAATTAGAAACCAACAACAAATTGATATCCAGAAAAGCCTCAAATGTCTGAAAACCAAGTAATAAACTTTGAAATACCCTGTGAGTCAAAAAAGTATTCACAAGGGGAACTGGAATGTATTTGGAATAAACTTGTTATAAAAATCTCATTTCTGGTAGACTAAAGGTGACAAATTCTTTCCTGCTCCTCTCTCTGTGAGAACCAATTCCCCTTAAACCTTGACCAGACTACAGACTTATTTGGCCAACAGAAGGTGACAAAGCTGGTATTTGGGGACTTCAGAAGCCAGGCTGAGAAAACAGAACACTTACCCAGGAGAAAGCCAGTCACCAGGCAGGAAATCCCACTCCCCTGAGACCTCATGATGGAAACCACAAGGCCAGTCCATGACTAGCTACACGCATTGACATCCCCCACTGAGCCTCCAGCAACACCGACTCCCAACAACTAGTGAGCCTCCAGCAACATCCACTCCCAACCACTAGTGAGCCACCCTGCACACCACCCCACTGTGCTTTCACACAATCCAGCTTGGCTGCAACTGTGTGTGAGATGAGCTGGCCACCAAGACTCTCTAAGCCAAAAAACAAGTAATAATGAGTTGTTTTACTTCAGAATAGATAACTGGAACAGAATATGGCAGCTGGAAATGAGCTGCTGTGGTAATCAGAAGCTACAATATGTGACACGACTGTGAGGCTGACCTGTAACTGGGCCTCAAGGAGACCATTCATGCAACCTGGAAGGGCATCAAGACTCTTGGTCAGGGCCTGAAGGACGGTGAGAAAATGTCATTGGAAACTGGAGAAAAGGTCTGAGAGTTACTTGCTGAGGGACTGTGGGAAAACTATGGCCACAACATGGAAACTGAAAGGGCACTGCACCATCTCAGGGATCTGCCTAAGGAGACATCTGGGAAGAACATGGAAAGTGCTACCAGCCTCCCCTAACTGTCACTGAATAAATATGACAGGAGAGGGACATGATCTAAAGAAGAAGGTTCAGTTTTCAAACAGAATTTAGAGAAAATATAAAGAAATAATTTCTTGTCTCAAAAGGCCAAAGTAAAAAAAAAGAAAAGAAAAGAAAAGGAAAAAAATGAAAAAGAAGCCATTGAATACCCTATTGACCATAAGAAAAAGGCAGGGAAAGCTGGTCAACGGCAACCCAGGCACTGAAGGAAAAAGAACATGGAGAATGACAAAAGCCCAGAGGGAGGAGTAAAAGGACACAAACACCATTCTCAGGGACCAGGACTGGGCACCGTTTTCAGGGACCAGGACTGGGCACTAATCACAGAACTGTAACAGGCGCCCCATGGGAATGACCAACTGTTAGACGGGGCCTGCAGGGCAGTACTTCCCTCTTGCCTCCCACCAAAGCTTCTAAAGGGAAATGTCGACTGTTTTCACAGCAGTCCCCTCACTGCGGCTGAGTTTGTGGGCTCAGATGATAGCTCACAACAACCTGATTCAGTCCCCACTGTGGCTGTGTGTGGGGGGTCAGATGACAGGCCACCACAACCTGATTCAGTCCTCACTGCAGCTGAGTGTGTGTGGGTGCAGATGACAAGCCACCACAACCTGATTCAGGATTCAGTTGGGCTACTAGCCAGTGCCATAAGGAAAACCATTCTGGGGCTCTTTAGAGGGGCAAAGCATAATTTGCATGTGGGAGAAACGTTAATAGTTTGTGGCCAGAGGACAAGCTGTGGTTTATTAAAGACTGCTGCAGGTTCCTACTATGCTTCTCATCAAGAGGTGGAATCTAATCACCTTTCCCCCTTGAATCATGGCTGGTCTCAGTGATGAGTACAACTGGACAGTGTGGCAGGAGAGATGCTCTGGGACTTCTGAGGGATGATCATGAGAGACCTTACAGCTTCTGCCTGGGCCTCTTGGACACACACCCTGGGAGAAGCCAGACAAACCTGACTACCTGATGCTACCAGACTGGAAGGAAGTCCGTGCTGGCCACAAAGAGAGGGCTGGGTGCCTGCTCCATGTTCCCAGCCACTAGAGTCCTTCTGGGTGCCTGCTTCACATCTCCAGCCACTAGAGTCCTTCCAGATGAGACCAGGGACATCATGAAGCAACCAACCCACACCGCTCTGTCCAGTGTCTTGACCCAGAAAATTGTGACATGTAAAAAGAATAAATTCCTGGTTTAAGCCAGTAAGGTTACGGGTACATTGTTACATCTCAGATAATTAAAACCTTGAAAAACTCATGAGAGATCACAAGTAGAACCTTGATCTGAAACATGGCATGTGGCGATTTATATTGAGTATTAGGTTAAAAATGCAAGAATGGAGCATAGTTAATATTTTACATTAAAGCTAAAACCATAATTGCCTACTTAAAATTTTCAGTTAATTAGGTTGTCACTTTTTGTTCTTAACCAAGAAATCAACTAGTTTTAGTCCATAAACAGTTAGAACTGATGCACACATCCGTTTTTCCTTACTCATTTTAAACAGCTATCTGAAATAGGAAGTGTAATGTAATCTTTAAAGAATCTGAAAACATGACAGAAATGTTTAAACTATAAACATATATTGTATATGTTAGCATATTGTATACATTGCATATTAACATAAGCTAGAATCATTGACATAAATTTATATAAACAAAAGGTATAAAATATGATAATGTTCTTCTTGTTTTTTGTCTTTGCATATTTCTTTATTGGCCCTTGTCAAACGTGACCCACTAACTCCTGAATGCTTTGTCTCTCCCCATGGATTCCTAAGGATGTCACCACAGTGTTGGCCAGATGCACAGGTCACAGGGGACTGAAACTCATCACCCCACAAACATACCATTCAGGTTTTGCCAAGAATGACACTGTAAATGTAACAAAGCTTCTGTGCTTGTTAGTGAACACCAACTCAGCTCCTCTCCTGTATTCAGAAATCAGGATGAGATGAAAACAACAAGCAGGCCAGGCACGGTGGCTCAGGCCTGTAATCCCAGCACTTTGGGAGGCCGAGGTGGGCAGATCACCTGAGGTCGGGAGCTCGAGACCACCCTGATCAAAACAGAGAAACCCCATCTCTACTAAAAATACAAAATTAGCCAGGCGTGGTGGCAAACGCCTGTAATACCAGCTACTCAGGAGCTGAGGCAGGAGAACTGCGTGAACCCGGGAGGTGGAGGCTGCAGTGAGCCGGGATCACACCACTGCACTCTAGCCTGGGCAACAAGAGTGAAACTCTGTCTCAAAAGAAAAAAAATTAAAAATAAAAGAACAAGGAAACAAAAGTAACAAGGCTTGACACCAGATGAGCCTGAATCTAAGCAAGAAAAGCCCAGAAAAAATCCCATTTTGGGTCACTGGCTGCATGGTAGTAATACCATACACATAAGGGAAGAGAGGAGGATGTGGCTTTCACTTTGAATTTTTTTAGCTTAAGGTAACATTTGCGTAGCTACAAATAAGAATTCAACAGAGAGTTAAACCTATGATGGAAAGATTGAAGGGGTCCAAGCTGTAGAGAAACAGGACTGCAAACCACAAAGAGCAGAATCAGTCAAGGAGAGCTGCAGGGCGGGATGAACAGGGACCAATGGAACATTTGGACAAGCTGTTGAGAAGAAAGGAAAATTCAGAGAAAAAGAACTGTCAGTGAGGTAATAATAGGAACTGTTACAGTGAACTAAATATGGCCTGGGAAGGACTCTGTACTTCTAGATTTGAGTCCCTGTGGACAAACTGCAACCTAACTTAATAGGTAGA
The DNA here is from genome assembly GCF_000001405.40 of Homo sapiens. Taxonomy (NCBI): domain Eukaryota; kingdom Metazoa; phylum Chordata; class Mammalia; order Primates; family Hominidae; genus Homo; species Homo sapiens. Next base: position 92,026 of record NT_187513.1, read on the forward strand.
AAGACTGATAACCTAACTTTGGAGTATGCACCTGTAACTATAGCTGAGTCCTGGCCAATCCCAACAGCCAAACTTCTGCCACTCACACACTACTGAGTGTTCAGCTGTGTTCAAATAAGGCAAATGCTGAGCACTGTAACCAGTCCAGTTGTTTCTGGACCTCACTGCTGAGAACTGTAACGGACCCAGTTGCTTCTGGACCTCACTCCTCACTTCAGATTTCTGTACATCACGTTCCCTTTATTGTCTATAAATCTTCCACCATGTAGCTGTGCTGGAGTCTCACCGAATCTGCTGTGATTCTGGGGGCTGCCTGATTCGTGAATCATTCATTGCTCAATTAAGTTCCTTTAAATTTAATTCAGCTGAAGATTTTCTTTTAATAGATGGTGTCAGAAGTGGGATCTGTGGGAGCAGGACTGCTAGGGCCTCCGGAGCTATAGTGTGGTGAGCAGTGTTGCTAGGGCTTCTAATGACCCTCAGGAGTGCTGAGGTACAAGAAAGGCACCTGCAAGGACCGCTCTATGATGGCAGCAGTGGCCCATGTGGAGCAGTTGCTACAGAGACACTGGCTGCAGTGGGGAGGAGTGGCTGGGGCTGTGAACTCCTCAAAGTTAGTGGGAGCCAGGAACAGGTGAGAGACCCACCCCTTCTAAATTGGCAGGCAGGAGCCCCACCCTCCCAGGCACAGCTGCAGCCATCCACCCATGACAGCAAGCCCGGGCATCTTTGCACTCTCAGAGGCCCAGCAAGCCCCCCTGCCCCCGTAGGCCCAGTCATACCTGCTCCCACCACCTGGCATGTCTCCGCTCCCAGAGCCCACTCCAACTTCGGATCCAAATTGAGGTTGAACCCAGGCACAGTCGCAACCCAGCCCAGTTTGTGCAAGCTCAGGGCAGTGCTGACATGCCAGCCCCCTGCCACCTCGGCCCCCTCCACACTTTGGGAACGGATGAGCACAGGAGGGACGTTGAGGTGGGGCTAAGAGTGGCTCAGCACTGGCTTGAAGGCACTCCTCAGCTCGAAAAGCCTGGGCACTGTGGGCATAGCTAACCACCATGCATCTCTCTCAGCTGCTGAGAGCTGAACAGACATTGGGATGACCTGCCTGCTGAAAGGAGCTACCCACTGCACGTCTCCTCTGAGCTGTACTGTTGCTCAATAAAGCACCTCTTCACCTTGCTCACCTTCTACTTGCCCACATACCTCATTCTTCCTGGACTCAGGACAAGAACTTGGGACCTGCCAACTAGCAGGGCTGAAAGAGGTGTAACATAAACAGGGCTGAAATGCACCCCTTGCTTGCCAAATTGCAGGCAAGAAGAAGAGAAGAGAGAAGGAGAGAAGAGCTGTGGCCCTTCAGGGAGCCCAGACCTAGGAGCTCCCCAAGCCAGGGCTGTGACACCTTATTTGGGGCTCTGCAGTTCCTGCATCTCGAAGCTTCCAGGCACCGCTGCATTCCCTGATACCCACAGTGGAAGCTGTTTGCAGTCAGCCTGGTCCAGCTGCAGCCTCACAGGGAGCTGGCACCTGTGGCGGTGCCTGGAGCTGCCCACCCCACTGCAGCTGGCATGCTTGGCTGTGTGCAGTGGCCAGATCCCATGCTCGCTTGCTCACACACCCTTCACTGCTCTGTACCCAGCTCACCCTTGGCAGGTGTGGGATCCAGACCACTAGCATGAGCCAAGTGGACAGAACGAACCCAGTGGGCCCGAGCAAAACACAGGTAAAGGCGCCACCAGCCAGAGGTTTCAGGCAGAAAAGTGACGCCTCAGGATTCTGTAACACTTGTGCCCTTTGACCTCTCAGAGCATCTGGGGATCGTGGTAAATTCTCTCTCGGATTTCAGAGCTCCATGAATTTGTGTTTTGAGCTGAGTTTCTCTGAGCAAATTTCTGTTCCAAACTGCTATCCAGCCATGACTGGCTGGATGTTTTAGAAGTTATGACAGAAACGGGACCGGGTCCAGGATCAGATTTGATCCAGTAATTAACTGGCTTGAATCCAGTTCCAGTTAGAGGCCTCCTACATCTGAATGGGTCAGAAGGAAAGTGGTAGTAAATGATAATATTGGAGGGTTGTAAAATTTGGCTTTTGGAAATTCACGGGGATTTTTGTGTTCTGCCCCTTTGTTTCATTTTCCTCACACGCTTAGGTAGGAAAAAAAATCATTGGCTAAGTCAATCAAGGGAACCTGAGAGTAAAGCCAATATATTAGGTAAAAATAGGATCCTTAATTTCTGGAAAACTAAGTTCTTTCTGGCTAATTCATTAGGCCTGGGAAGCAGCAAAGTCTTACAGAAATGGCAAAATCTTACTAAAGATAACTTATAGTGTAACATTCCAAATGAATAATGCCCTGAAGTGCATTTAAAAATGATGGCTCCCAAATTAGTCTCATCTAGGGATGCCTATTAACATGCAGAAGCTTCTAAAAAGATTTAGAGATGGCATGGCCTATCTGGGAGCAAGTTTGAGTCTTACCAGTTTGACACTGGGTGCTAAGCAAAGTGGCTCGTGTCTATGTTTTGTCACATATATTTTGCTCTGAGCAGAATGAAAAATGTTAATTTGGTTACTCCAAGCAACCCCTTGGGCAGCATCTTGCAAAGCTAAGTGGATTCTTCCTGTGGCTCCATGATTTCCATTGTGATGCAGCTTGGCCCCCAGAGCTATAATGTGGTGAGGAGGGTGACAGAGCAAGACGCTATCTTTAAAAAAAAATGGCCCGGGGCAGTGGCTCACAGCTGTAATCTCAACACTTGGGGAGGCCGAGGCAGGTGGATCACATGAGGTCAGGAGTTCAAGGCCAGCCTGACCAACAAGGAAAAACCCCGTCTCTACTAAAAACACAAAATTAGCTGGGCATGGTGGGGCATGCCTCTAATCCCAGCTACTCAGGAGGCTGGGGCCGGAGAATCACTTGAACCTGGGAGGCAGGGGGTTGCAGTAAACCGAGATCGCACCATTGCACTCCAGCCTGGGCAACAAGAGGGAAAATCCATCTCAAAAAAGAAAAGAATAATAGATTTGCCTGTAAGGTTTTATGAAAAAGTGGGTGACATTTGGCTTTCTCTCTTTAAAGAAGATTTTCAGAAAATATTAAAAAATAATGGGAGGAGGAGCCAAGATGGCCGAATAGGAACAGCTCCGGTCTACAGCTCCCAGCATGAGCGATGCAGAAGATGGGTGATTTCTGCATTTCCATTTGAGGTACTGGGTTCATCTCACTAGGGAGTGCCAGACAGTGGGTGCAGGACAGTGGGTGAAGTGCACTGTGCACTAGCCAAAGCAGGGCAAGGCATTGCCTCACTCGGGAAGTGCAAGGGGTCAGGAAGTTAGTTCCCTTTCCTGGTCAAGGAAAGGGGTGACAGATGGCACCTGGAAAATCGGGCCACTGCCACCCTAATACTGAGCTTTTCTGACGGGCTTAGGAAATGGCACACCACGAGATTATATCCCGCTCCTGGCTCAGAAGGTCCTATGCCCATGGAGTCTCGATGATTGCTAACACAGCAGTCTGAGATCAAACTGCAAGGCAGCAGCGAGGCTGGGGGAGGGGCACCGGCCATTGCCCAGGCTCTCTTAGGTAAACAAAGCAGCCTGGAAGCTCGAACTGGGTGGAGCCCACCACAGCTCAAGGAGGCCTGCCTGCCTCTGCAGGCTCCACCTCTGGGGGCAGGACACAGACAAACAAAAAGACAGCAGTAACCTCTGCAGACTTAAATGTCCCTGTCTGACAGCTTTGAGGAGAGCAGTGGTTCTCCCAGCACACAGCTGGAGATCTGAGAATGGGCAGACTGCCTCCTCAAGTGGGTCCCTGACCCCTGACCCCCGAGCAGCCTAACTGGGAGGCGCCCCCTAGCAGGGGCAGACTGACACCTCACACGACCAGGTACTCCTCTGAGACAAAACTTCCAGAGGAACGATCAGACAGCAGCATTCGCGGATCATGAAAATCCACGGTTTTGCAGACACCACTGCTGATACCCAGGCAAACAGGGTCGGGAATGGGCCTCTAGAAAACTCCAACAGACCTGAAACTGAGGGTACTGTCTGTTAGAAGGAAAACTAAAAAACAGAAAGGACATCCACACCAAGAACCCATGTGTACATCACCATCATCAAAGACCAAAAGTAGATAAAACCACAAAGATGGGGAAAAAACAGAACAGAAAAACTGGAAACTCTAAAAAGCAGAGCGCCTCTCCTCCTCCAAAGGAATGCAGTTCCTCACCAGCAACGGAACAAAGCTGGATGGAGAATGATTTTGACGAGCTGAGAGAAGGCTTCAGATGATCAAATTACTCTGAGCTATGGCAGGACATTCAAACCAAAGGCAAAGTTGAAAACTTTGAAAAAAATTTAGAAGAATGTATAACTAGAATAACCAATAGAGAGAATTTCTTAAAGGAGCTGATGGAGCTGAAAACGAAGGCTCGAGAACTACGTGAAGAATGCAGAAGCCTCAGGAGCCGATGCGATCAACTGGAAGAAAGGGTATCAGCGATGGAAGATGAAATGAATGAAATGAAATGAGAAGGGAAGTTTAGAGAAAAAAGAATAAAAAGAAATGAGCAAAGCCTCCAAGAAATATGGGACTATGTGAAAAGACCAAATCTACATCTGATTGGTGTACCTGAAAGTGATAGGGAGAATGGAACCAAGTTGGAAAACACTGCAGGACATTATCCAGGAGAACTTCCCCAATCTAGCAAGGCAGGCCAACATTCAGATTCAGAAAATACAGAGAACGCCACAAAGATACTCCTCGAGAAGAGCAACTCCAAGACACATAATTGTCAGATTCACCAAAGTTGAAATGAAGGAAAAAATGTTAAGGGCAGCCAGAGAGAAAGGTCGGGTTACCCTCAAAGGGAAGCCCATCAGACTAACGGCGGATCTCTCAGCAGAAACCCTACAAGCCAGAAGAGAGTGGGGGCCAATATTCAACATTCTTAAAGAAAAGAATTTTCAACCCAGAATTTCATATCCAGCCAAGCTAAGCTTCATAAGCAAAGGAGAAATAAAATACTTTACAGACAAGCAAATGCTGAGAGATTTTGTCACGACCAGGCCTGCCTTACAAGAGCTCCTGAAGGAAGCACTAAACATGGAAAGGATCAACTGGTACCAGCCGCTGCAAAATCATGCCAAAATGTAAACACCGTCGAGACTAGGAAGAAACTGCATTAACTAACGAGCAAAATAACCAGCTAACATCATAATGACAGGATCAAATTCACACATAACAATATTAACTTTAAATGTAAATGGACTAAATGCTCCAATTAAAAGACACAGACTGGCAAATTGGATAAAGAGTCAAGAACCATCAGTGTGCTGTATTCAGGAAACTCATCTCACGTGCAGAGACACACATAGGTTCAAAATAAAAGGATGGAGGAAGATCTACCAAGCAAATGGAAAACAAAAAAAGGCAGGGGTTGTAATCCTAGTCTCTGATAAAACAGACTTTAAACCAAGAAAGATCAAAAGAGACAAAGAAGGCCATTACATAATGGTAAAGGGATCAATTCAACAAGAAGAGCTAACTATCCTAAATATATATGCACCCAATACAGGAGCATGCAGATTCATAAAGCAAGTCCTGAGTGACCTACAAAGAGACTTAGACTCCCACACATTAATAATGGGAGACTTTAACACCCCACTGTCAACATTAGACAGATCAACAAGACAGGAAGTCAAAAAGCAAACCCAGGAATTGAACTCAGCTCTGCACCAAGCGGACCTAACAGACATCTCCAGAACTTTCCACCCCAAATCAACAGAATATACATGTTTTCAGCACCACACCACACCTATTCCAAAATTGACCACATACTTGGAAGTAAAGTTCTCCTCAGCAAATGTAAAAGAACAGAAATTATAAGAAACTATCTCTCAGATGACAGTGCAATCAAACTAGAACTCAGGATTAAGAATCTCACTCAAAACTGCTCAACTACATGGAAACTGAACAACCTGCTCCTGAATGACTACTGGGTACATAAGGAAATGAAGGCAGAAATAAAGATATTCTTTGAAACCAATGAGAACAAAGACACAACATACCAGAATCTCTGGGACGCATTCAAAGCACTGTGTAGAGGGAAATTTATAGCACTAAATGCCCACAAGGGAAAACAGGAAAGATCCAAAATTGACACCCTAACATCACAATTGAAAGAACTAGAAAAGCAAGAGCAAACACATTCAAAAGCTAGCAGAAGGCAAGAAATAACTAAAATCAGAGCAGAACTGAAGGAAATAGAGACACAAAATCCCTTCAAAAAATTAATGAATCCAGGAGCTGGTTTTTTGAAAGGATCAGCAAAATTGATAGACCTCTAGCAAGACTAATAAAGAAAAAAAGAGAGAAGAATCAAATAGATGCAATAAAAAATGATAAAGGGGATATCACCACCAATCCCAGCAAAATACTAAATACCATCAGAGAATAATACAAACACCTCTACGCAAATAAACTAGAAAATCTAGAAGAAATGGATAAATTCCTCGACACATACACTCTCCGAAGACTAAACCAGGAAGTTGAATCTCTGAATAGACCAATAACAGGAGCCAAAATTGTGGCAATAATCAATAGCTTACCAACCAAAAAGAGTCCAGGACCAGATGGATTCACAGCCGAATTCTACCAGAGGCACAAGGAGGAACTGGTACCATTCCTTCTGAAACTATTCCAATCAACAGAAAAAGAGGGAATCCTCCCTAACTCATTTAATGAGGCCAGCATCATTCTGACACCAAAGCCAGGCAGAGACACAACCAAAAAAGAGAATTTTAGACCAATATCCTTGATGAACATTGATGCAAAAATCCTCAATAAAATACTGGCAAACCGAATCCATTAACACATCAAAAAGCTTATGCAACTTGATCAAGTGGGCTTCATCCCTGGGATGTAAGGCTGGTTCAATATACACAAATCAATAAATGTAATCCAGCATATAAACAGAGCCAAAGACAAAAACCACATGATTATCTCAATAGATTCAGAAAAGGCCTTTGACAAAATTCAACAACCCTTCATGCTAAAAACTCTCAATAAATTAGGTATTGATGGGACGCATTTCAAAATAATAAGAGCTATCTATGACAAACCCACAGCCAATATCATTCTGAATGGACAAAAACTGGAAGCATTCCCTTTGAAAACTGGCACAAGACAGGGATGGCCTCTCTCACCACACCTATTCAACATAGTGTTGGAAGTTCTGGCCAGGGCAATTAGGCAGGAGAAGGAAATAAAGGGTATTCAATTAGGAAAAGAGGAAGTCAAATTGTCCCTGTTTGCAGACGACATGATTGTATATCTAGAAAACCTCATCGTCTCAGCCCAAAATCTCCTTCAGCTGATAAGCAACTTCAGCAAAGTCTCAGGATACAAAATCAATGTACAAAAATCACAAGCATTCTTATACACCAACAACAGACAAACAGAGAGCCAAATCATGAGTGAACTCCCATTCACAATTGCTTCAAAGAGAATAAAATACCTAGGAATCCAACTTACAAGGGATGTGAAGGACCTCTTCAAGGAGAACTACAAACCACTGCTCAAGGAAATAAAAAAGGATAAAAACAAATGGAAGAACATTCCATGCTCATGGGTAGGAAGAATCAATATCTTGAAAATGGCCATACTGCCCAAGGTAATTTACAGATTCAATGCCATCCCCATCAAGCTACCAATGACTTTCTTCACAGAATTGGAAAAAACTACTTTAAAGTTCATATGGAACCAAAAAAGAGCCCACATCGCCAAGTCAATCCTAAGCCAAAAGAACAAAGCTGGAGGCATCACACTACCTGATTTCAAAGTATACTACAAGGCTACAGTAACCAAAACAGCATGGTACTGGTACCAAAACAGAGATATAGATCAATGGAACAGAACAGAGCCCTCAGAAATAATGCCGCATATCTACAACTATCTGATCTTTGACAAACCTGAGAAAAACAAGAAATGGGGAAAGGATTCCCTATTTAATAAATGGTGCTGGGAAAACTGGCTAGCCATATGTAAAAAGCTGAAACTGGATCCCTTCCTTACACCTTATACAAAAATCAATTCAAGATGGATTAAAGACTTAAACGTTAGACCTAAAACCATAAAAACCCTAGAAGAAAACCTAGGCATTACCATTCAGGACATAGGCATGGGCAAGGACTTCATGTCTAAAACACCAAAAGCAATGGCAACAAATGCCAAAATTGACAAATGGGATCTTATTAAACTAAAGAACTTCTGCACAGCAAAAGAAACCACCATCAGAGTGAACAGGCAACCTACAAAACGGCAGAAAATTTTCGCAACCTACTCATCTGACAAAGGGCTAATATCCAGAATCTACAATGAACTCAAACAAATTTACAAGAAAAAAACAAACAATCCCATCAAAAAGTGGGCGAAGGACATGAACAGACACTTCTCAAAAGAAGACATTTATGCAGCCAAAAAACACATGAAAAAATGCTCATCATCACTGGCCATCAGATAAATGCAAATGAAAACCACAATGAGATACCATCTCACACCAGTTAGAATGGCAATCATTAAAAAGTCAGAAAACAACAGGTGCTGGAGAGGACGTGGAGAAATAGGAACACTTTTACACTGTTGGTGGGACTGTAAACTAGTTCAATCATTGTGGAAGTCAGTGTGGCGATTCCTCAGGGATCTAGAACTGGAAATGCCATTTGACCCAGCCATCCCATTACTGGGTATATACCCAATGGACTATAAATCATGCTGCTATAAAGACACATGCACACGTAGGTTTATTGCGGCATTATTCACAATAGCAAAGACTTGGAACCAACCCAAATGTCCAACAATGATAGACTGGATTAAGAAAATGTGGCACATATACACCATGGAATACTATGCAGCCATAAAAAATGATGAGTTCATGTCCTTTGTAGGGACATGGATGAAATTGGAAATCATCATTCTCAGTAAACTATTGCAAGAACGTAAAGCCAAACACTGCATATTCTCACTCATAGGTGGGAATTGAACAATGAGATCACATGGACACAGGAAGGGGAATATCACACTCTGGGGACTGTTGTGGTGTGGGGGGAGGGGGGAGGGATAGCATTGGGAGATATACCTAATGCTAGATGACGAGTTAGTGGGTGCAGCACACCAGCATGGCAGATGTATACATATGTAACTAACCTGCACAATGTGCACATGTACTCTAAAACTAAAAGTATAATAAAAAATAAAAATAAAAAAATAATAAAAATTTTTTGTCATGATTTTTGGTAAATGAATGACTTACGGTGACGTGGAATTCTATTTCATAACATCAAGTGTTTAAACCTTTAATATATTTAATAGGCTTCCCAAAATCAAATTTCAACTTCAAAATTGTCTTTTCTGACCTCTAATTTTGGGATACTACAGAGACCCCTGAAGCACCCAAAAGAGAGGTAAACAGGACTATTTAACATGTTAAGTCACATGGGTAGCACTGTCAAAATAAAAAATAATGTGGAACCTTCCTCAGGTTATATTTAGTGTGTGTCATCAATCCATTCTAAAATAGTGTAGGATTTCTAAAATTCTTGTATTTTTTTTTTTTCTGAGATGGAGTCTTGCTCTGTCACCCAGGCTGGAGTACAGTGGCGCAATCTCGGCTCACTGCAACTTCCGCCTCCCGGGTTCATGCCATTCTCCTGCCTCAGCCTCCCGAGTAGCTGGGACTACAGGCACCCACCACCATGCCAGGCTAATTTTTGTATTTTTAGTAAAGATGGATTTCACCGTGTTAGCCAGGATGGTCACGATCTCCTGACCTCATGATCCTTCCACCTCGGCCTCCCAAAGTGCTGGGATTACAGGCATGAGCCACCACATCCACCCTAATTATGGTTATTAAGTTATTGTAGACCACAGAAATAACCAAATTTCCTTGTCAATTGTCTTTAACTATAACTAAAGTCATTTCACAGTTAATTGCTTAATAGTGATGCAGTTTCTAAAAACTTCACAAGCATGCAAAATTCTAGAGTATGGTGTCTCTTAGAAGATTCATGAAAGAATGAAAATGACCCTGAAAAACACTCGTGAACACAGATTTCTAATAACTTTAATATCATGGGTAAAAATTCCCCATAAGTTCCCCGATACCCCAAGAATTGGACTGGCTAAGAATTCTCAACAGTTAGGCTGGGTGCAGCGGCTCATGTCGGCAATCCCAGCACTTTAGGAGGCCAAGGCCGGTGGATCACTTGAGGTCAGGAGTTTGAGACCAGCCTGGCCAAAGGTGAAACCCCACCTCTACTAAAAATACAAAAATTAGCTGGGTGTGGTGGTATGTGCCTGTAATCCCAGCTACTCGGGAGGCTGTGGCAAGAGAATTGCTTGAGCCCAGGAGGCAGAGGTTGCAGTGAGCCAAGATTGTGCCACTGCACTCCAACCTAGGTAACAGAGTGAGACTCTGTCTCAAAAAAAAAAATATCAAAAATTTAATAAAAAGACCAACTGGTTTGTAAAACTGCTAACCCAAGTAAAACAAAAATTGTATACCAAGGAAATATTATGCCACATTTTCATGCTAAATCACCAATATTGAAATTGTTTAGATATATAATTTAAATAAACTCCATGGTCTAAATCAAATTACCTATAACTACTCATCAGTTACCAGTGCCATGCACCTAATTTGGAGAAACAGCTGGTATTCAAGAGGATGTAAGTCTGATGTTAATTAAGCACAGACCTATAAAGAACCAGGATGGCCACCTTATCCTTCTTAAGTCCTAAAAACTTTTGTTATTAAAAGTTCTGCATTCCATAACTCATCACAGAAAGAGAAAACGATCCAAATTAAATATATTGGTGTGGTGATTTCTAAACTGCTAAAATAGTTTATAACCAATGTTTGGTTTGTGAAACCTATATTCCTAGGAAAACAATCAAAACTTCAGGTACATTTGGTTATCTGATGGGCCATTTAAACATTTTATAAAGGGATTTCATTCAGTTGTCATTTTCAGTGCATGTTTTCTGATTGTATAAAAGCTCTTCCATGCGAGAGAGTTGATGTTAAAACAGTAGATTATTACCCTGAAGTGTATTTTCACCAGGTAAAGAAAGCCTTTTATGGTTCACTGAGGACAGTCAAACCCTTCAAAATCTAGAATCTGATGACTGGATCTTCTGAGAACATCAGAGAAGGACTGCCCTCGCCATCCACATGACAACAAAACTTTAAAACCTTAAACTTTGGGTTCATAGTCTCACAACTCAGAAGGGTCCCTCCACACTCAGAACCATATGCCTATTGGAACCCTTAAGGTAAAGCTAACACGGACAGTTCCCCCCAGAAGAAGATGGCATCCTTAATGTGAACAGCTTTTCCCAAGATCACAGATCAAGACTTCTCTACTATCATGAGACTCTTATCTTAAGTATCTGTGCAGCTGCTAACACTTACAGCATGTGGAGAAAACATGGGGTATTATAAAGATTTGGTTGTAGGGAATTAACAAAAAAAAACCACTTAGTTAAGCAAGTAAACCCTTTATCTAATTCATTCTTTAATCTATTTGATTTTTGGTGGTTTGATTTATGGGGACCCTGAGTAAGGAGCATATACCACATCTTGGTGTTATCCCAATAGTCATAAGAGTCTCCCTGGTGTACTGTACTTACTCAAATGTTTCAAGAGTTTGCATGCAGCCATCTCTAAAATGTCAAATGGTATCTCTTCAACTGGAATGACAAGAGATTAAAAGAAATGTGCAACCATAAGGCCACCATAACCTATGAGTGACATGCTAAACTGGAAACCCAAAACAATGGGAGTGACATGCTAAACCAGAAACCCAAAACAATGGGAGTGACTTGCTAAAACTGGAACCCAAAACAATGAGAGTGACGTGCTAAAACCGGAAACGAAAACAATGGGAGTGATGTGCTTAAACTGGAACCCAAAACAATGGGAGTGACCTGCAAAACCAGAAACCCAAACAATGGGAGTGAGGTGCTAAAACCAGAACCCTAAACAACGGGAGTGATGTGCTTAAACCAGAACCGAAAACAATGGGAGTGACCTGCTAAACCAGAAATCCAAAACAATGGGAGTGATGTGCTAAAACCGGAACCCAAAACAATGGGAGTGATGTGCTTAAACCGGAACCCAAAACAATGGTAGTGACCTGCTAAAGCAGAAACCCAAAACAATGGGAGTGTCCTGCTAAACCAGAAACCCAAAACAATGGGAGTGACGTGTAAAACCAGAAACCCAAAACAATGGGAGCGTCCTGCTAAACCAGAAACCCAAAACAATGAGAGTGACATGATAAACCAGAAACCCAAAACAATGGGAGTGACGTGCTAAAACCTGGAAACCCAAAACAATGGGAGTGAGGTGCTAAAACCAGATACACAAAACAATGGGAGTGACATGCTAAAACCAGATACCCAAAACAATGGGAGTGATGTGCTAAAACCTGAACCCAAAACAATGGGAATGACGTGCTAAACCGGAACCCAAAACAATGGGAGTGACGTGCTAAAACCGGAACCCAAAACAATGGGAGTGACATGCTAAAACCAGAAACCCAAAACAATGGGAGGGTCCTGCTAAACCAGAAACCCAAAACAATGGGAGTGAAGTGCTAAAACCAGAAACCCAAAACAATGGGAGTGTCCTGCTACACCAGAAACCCAAAACGATGGGAGTGACGTGATAAAACCAGACACCCAAAACAATGGGAGTGACGTGCTAAACCAGAAACCCAAAACAATGGGAGTGACGTGCTAAAACCTGGAAACCCAAAACAATGGGAGTGAGGTGCTAAAACCAGAACCCAAAACAATGTGAGTGACGTGCTAAACCAGAACCCAAAACAATGGGAGTGACGTGCTAAAACAGGAACCCAAAACAATGAGAGTGACGTGCTAAACCAGAAACCCAAAACAATGGGAATGACGTGCTAAAACCGGAACCCAAAACAATGGGAGTGATGTGCTAAACCAGAAACCCAAAACAATGGGAATGACATGCTAAAACTGGAACCCAAAACAATGGTAACTAAGAGTGATGCTAAGGCCCTACATTTTGGTCACACTCTCAACTAAGTGAGAACTTGACTGAAAAGGAGGATTTTTTTTTTCTAAGACAGAGTTTTGGTCTGTCCCCCAGAGTGGAGTGCAGTGGCATGATCTTGGCTCACTGCAAGCTCTGCCTCCCAGGTTCAGGCCATTCTCCTGCCTCAGCCTCCTGAGTAGCTGGGAATACAGGCACCCGCCACCACACTTGGCTAATTTTTTGTATTTTTAGTAGAGATGGGGTGTCACCATATTAGCAAGGATGGTCTCAATCTCCTGACCTCGTGATCTGCCCACCTCAGGCTCCCAAAGTGCTGGGATTACAGGTGTGAGCCACCACACCCAGCAAAAAGGAGGAATTTTTAAAGCAAAATTATGGGAGGCCATTGTTTTGAACTAAGCTCATGCAATAGGTCCCAACAGACCAAACCAAACCAAACCAAAATGGAGTCACTCATGCTAAATGTAACATAATGAAACTAAGACTTTAGGGAAACACATAAATCCTAGAACAAACCAGGTTTTGTTTTTCTCCTGTAAACAGGATGTTCCAGCATAAGAAGATACCTTCTACTCAAGTCCTTGTTCCACCTTTTCAAATCTCACTGGTCTATTTCCCAGTGGGTTTCTAAACCAAGTAAGTACATTTGCAATGGTAATAGTGACACCAGTGACTGAAGTTTCGGCCAATCTCTCAAAATTGAGAAAATAACCAAAGGGAAGGCATTGTTAAAGTGAACTAAGTATGGCCTGAGAAGGACTCCATAATTCTATATATGAGTCCTTGTGGGTGAACTGCAACCTACCTTAATAGGTATACAAGAATGAAAAACTAACTTAAGAGTATGCACCTGGAACAACAGCTACATCTTGGCCAATCCCAATGGCCAAACTTCAACCACTCAGGCACTGCCAAATGTTCAAAATGTGTTCAAACAAGGCAAACGCTGAGTTGTTTCTGTACCTCACTTCCGATTTCGGTATGCCACTTCCCTTTTGTCTATAAATCTTCTTCCACCACATGACTGCACTGGAGTCTCTGTGAATCTGCTGTGATTCTGGGGACTGTCCGATTCATGAATCGCTTTATTGCTAAATTAAACTCCTTTAAAGTTTTTCTTTTAACAGAACTAACACAGAAGAATTTCCAGATCATGAACAGACGTTTTGTAATACCCAACGTTGTATTAACATGAATAGACTCTTCCTTAGACAGCTAACCTTGTTTTTAATATGAATAGACTCTCCCTTAGCTGAGAAAACCAGACAAACTCCATTTGGCTCCTTCATTAACAAGACATCAAGGACTCCTTACCCACCCCCTTTCCTCAAGGACTTTAACTTGTGCAAGCTGATTTTCAACATATCAAAGCGTGCAATTAACTGATAAAGTGCTGAGACAAGAGATGTCCCCAGTTCCCAGCAATTTACTCAGAGATAGTATCATAAAGCCCCCACATTTGTCCGGCAGATAATGCCCAGAGCCCCCTCACCTATCACTTTGTGGTGAATTTAAAGACCCTACACCAGGAACAGTTTGTTTTCCTGTAACCATCTGTTTTTCTAAGTTTTTTGTCTGTTTTTTTCTTCTGTAAAGTTGCTGCAGCTAGAATCCCCCCTCCCCTCTCTAAACCAAAGTATAAAAGAAAATCTAGTCCCTTCTTCAGGGCCGAGAGAATTTCGTGCGTTAGCCATGTCTCAGTCGCTGGCTAGTAAAGGACTCCTGAATTCGTCTCAATGCGTGGCATTTCTCTCTAACTCACTCGGGTACGACAGTTTCAACTATGGTAGAAGACTCGAGTAAGGCAAATACAGTCCCCCTAAATTTGACTATTATTCAGATTAATGGTGAGTTTAGAAGAAATAAGGCTACACAGAGTGGGCTAAAGTGCAAATAAACACTGGAAATATTTCCCAGAAAATATGACTTTGAACAGGCTGCTGCACACCCTGCATGTAGAGATAAACTAAGAAAAACGTGTGGAGAGTTATTTAAGGACCTATGGTTAACTCAGTCCTCAAGATGTTCCAGGTTTCATCCATGAATCAAGGAGGACCTCCCAAAGGCTGTTTGGGACCACACTCTTTGAGTAAGGAGCATACATTACGATGGAAGCTGTGTTTTAGCAGCAGATGACCATTTCCGCTGCACAACACGCCGTGCTTTAGCGGAAGATGACCGTTTCCACTGCACAACACTACAAGTGTTTACTGCCAGGCCGGTGTGAAATATGTTCCAGCACATAATCTATGTCACCAATGAAGGTGGTGGTTCAGACTTGGTGCACGCAAGCTTTCCTGTCCCACAAGAACACAGCATGCTCTCTTCTCGGGTTCCATTCCAATCACATAACAAACATGACTGCCTTTTTTGTCTCGGCATCAGAAAGATCAGAGGAAAATTTGCACTCAACTTAGACAACTCTAAGCTCTTATAACCTGCCTATATCTACAGGTCAGCTTTATCTTATTTATGTATATTTCCTTCAACCTGAGTTTTACTTATTTCTACTTTTCCTTTTTAATTCACAGACACCCATAAACTCAGAAAATACAGTGTAAAACAAAGTGAAGAACAAATAAACAACTCACCAGAGATTTATTCATTTCTTGTTGCTCTTGGAAACACCCAGAGGACACTGGAAACATAGCTGGGATAGAAGGCAAATGACGTGGATTAAGGAGAGAACTGGTGTGGTGTGGTCCCAGATTCTTCTGCCCAACACTCTAGACACATTACCTGGGAAAGCCCTCCTCCCTCCTGAAAAAGAAAAACTTCCCCAGGGGAGAAGAGTCCTTCACACCTCATTAGGGGCAGCAAAGACTCAAGTTAAGATAAGATACATCTACAAGTACATTAATTGGTAGACATTAGATGCACAATTTATTTTTGAATAAAAATATATATTACCTACTAATTTAGTAACAATATTATCTAAAGATATAATCTAATAATTTAATACAAAGAAACATTATAAGTTCACTAAAATAAATGTTATAGAAATATACTGGGCTGTATTAACTATTTTCCTATTAATATGTAGATTCCACAAATAACTTCATATGAGTGTTCCCATGACAGTACATCTTGCTTTTCTATACCTGAACATCATGGAAAGTGCATCTTGCAAACCAGCAATTTTGGCCTACAATTACGTTTTTTAAAATGTACATAATATGTATTTCCTGCAGTACACCATTCTACTCATGTTTCCCAATAACACCTTTCCTTCTATCCAAGCCCTCATATTATGCTCTGACAATAAATTGGGCTTTTCCATCTGACTTGTCCAGTGAATGGAAAATGGAAAATGTGATGCAAATATCCATTGGTTCTTTCCTTTTTGGGGGAAATTGTGAAGAGGTCTGGAGCTACCCTGTTGGAGACACAGGGCCTAGCCAAGAGTCACCACAAACCACCAGATTGTGAAGTAAACTATCTTAAACCAACCAGGCTCAGTCAAGGCACCAGGTGACTGAGGCCTTTTTGTGATCCAGGCAACACAAATATATTAACTACCCAGCTGAACCCACCACACCAAAGTGCAGATCCACAGAACTTCGAACAAATAAAATGGTGGTTGTTTTTTATAAGCCAGTAAGGTTTAATTAGTTCCTTAAACAGCAAGTATTAACTGTTACACCTAAGTGAACAGAATTCACTTCTGTGTTTTTAACAAAATTACGTAGGGGGAGAAAATGTTAAATTACAAATCAAATACAATCAATAGAACTTCGCAATCTAATGTTAAATTTGGGGATGGACTAGGTTTAATATATCTCAGACGCTGGAAAAAACGAGCTAAGGTTGAAGGAATGGGACTGTGTTTGGAGAGTATTTTAATCCTCTCAAGTATGACAGGTCACTGCTGTACCCCAGACCACACTTTCAGGCCCCTTCAAATAAGGAATATTTCCTAAGTCCTTGCCTGTTCTTCTTAGCTGAATTCACCTCAACCTTCTGAAAGTTCGTCCAAACCTTCTACTATCACCTAGTCTTTGCAAATCTTGTGCATTCTAGGGAGTAGAATTAATATTTCCTGAGCAAGGAAAACTGGGATCTTCACCTGTGACCTTTTTTCCTCCTCTGAAGCACCAGTGAGAGGTTAGACCAGATGGCTGTTCTTTCAAGTGTGCTTCTTATTCATAGGGAACCCTCCCTTTCAAACTTTGTAACACACAGTTAAGACTGAAGTATCCTTAAGGCTGACGACCATCATCCATTAAGCCATCTCCCTCGCGGAATCAGTGAGTTCTTCCCTGGAAACTAGGTCTCGTATAAACTTCTGTAAATGCGACCCAGGAGGACTAGGCAGGTCACACAGTGAAGAAGGGAACCAGAAACTTCACTTGCTAAAGAGACACCAGGAAACCCAACTAATACAAACGCCAAGTTTAAGACTAGAGGCGCACGCGTTTCACACTACTCCTCTGGGAATGGGGAACGTCTCCCGAGAACTGTGTGTTACCACTGGGACAGATGGGCAAACTGAGCGTCATGCAGGTTGGTAACCGGGTCCCTCAGCGGCAGGACAGGAGCGCGGCCTGCAGACTCCGGGCCCAGGGCCACCGGCCTCTCCTACCTGCTCCTGCGCCTCTAGAACCCGTTTCACTGCCGGGACCCCACGCCTGTCCTCCCAGCCCCCGCCAGGGTCCACTGCCCGCACCTGCACTTCAGGCCCTGCCCGCCCGCAATGTGCCCACGCGTCTGCTCCCACAACTAGGGAACACTGGTCCGGCCCCCCGGGATCCCCTGAGGCCCACGGGTTCCTCTTCGCCCTTGCACCGACCCGCAGGGACATAGAACCAAGCCCCAAGCCGGCCCGGCTACAGGACCGCCTCTGGGTGCCGCACTTCCGGAGGAAAATGGCGGAGTGGGCCGGGCGGCGCAAGCGCAGAGAGAAAAGCTGGTTCCCAAGGTCCTTGATGGTAACATCATTGGAAGGTGACACTACAATTCCCATGAGACTTTGCGGTACCCCGTTAGGAACCCAAGCCGGACATTCTGTTTTGCCCAGCAGTTGAGTCCAGTTACCCAGAGACCCGGACTTAATGTATCAGGACTGGTCCCTACCCAGGTGACACAGATGTGGCATTCTGGTTCTTTATTAAATCCTGGTTTCACAGCCTGGGACATTGTGAAAATAATGGAGAAATTTCAATAGAGGCCAATTGGTCTATGCTATGAATAAGTTGTTTTTTTTTTTTTTTTTTTTTTTGAGAAGGAGTCTCACTCTGTCGCCCAGGCTGGAGTGCAATGGTGCGATCTCGGCTCACTGCAACCTCCGCTTCCCGGGTTCAAGCGATTCTCCTGCCTCAGCCTCCTAAGTACCTGGGATTACAGGCGCGTGCCACCACACTCGCCTAATTTTTGTATTTTTAGTAGAGACGGGTTTTCACCATGTTAGTCAGGCTGGTCTCCAACTCCTGACCTCGTTATCCGCCCTCCTCGGCCTCCCAAGGTGCTGGGATTACAAGCGTGAGCCACTGCGCCCAGCCCTCAAGTCTATTTTTTATAGATGCATTCGAAAGCATGAAAAAAATAATGTCTCTATTTTACTTTAAAAATTTTAAAACACAACTAATGAATATGGTAATTCTCTTCCAATCCGTTATCTTTTCTCTCACTAAACTAATTTGTGAGCCTTCAATTTACACTGTTAGAAAATATGCTCTAGTGCACATACTAGGATAAAATAACAGGGTCATAAGACAGGTGCACTCCATAATCTTTGTGACAACTTACACTTCCAGTGTCTGATAAATATTTGCCCGTAGACTCCCAGGTTTCATCCATCCATCCATCAATCAAATCTACCTATCTTTATTTATTTATTGTGAGAAAGACCTGAAATTTGCCTTTCCTTCCCTGATGTCTGCCACAAACTAGGCAAGGAGTTCTGCCTAGGGGTTTCTCAGAGCTCCGGCTACCACCGAGGTTCCTAACAGGGAAATGCAGGCTTGAATGCTCAGGGTTGATGTGGGAGTGCGTGTGAAACGGGGATGGGGTGAAAGGGCAGTGACGTTTGTAGGTGGGCAGATGGGGGTGTGATGGGCTTTCAGGTAAGAGGCACGCAGGAACCTGGGAGAGGCAGCGAAAGCACCTCACGCCTCAGATCACCAGAAGACGCTCCCACCAGTGCCATGACAGTTTGCCAATGCCATGTCATCACGAGAATTCCCCACCCCTTGCCATGGAAACAGATGGAAGTTACTGCCCATTTCTAGCTATTTCTGAATAACCCGCCCCTTAATTAGCATGCCATTAAAAGTGAATTATAAAAATGACTACAAGCCACCCCTAGGCTGCTGCTCTGGGAGCACAACCCACGGAGGGCTCCCTGCCCTGCCGGAGTGGACGCTGTGCTGTAACACCGCCAATGCCTCCGTAGAGCTGCTTTCTTCCACCACAGGCTTGCTTTTGGATTTCTTCCTAAACGACGCCAAGAACCTGCCCTTCCTCAGTGTGACTCTTGCCTAAAACCTATCCCTGGTATTCTCTTTTCCTAAGCATGCCCTGACTTGTTCTTTCATCTCCTCTGATCTTGCAATTGGTCCTCAGTGACTCTATTCTGCAGATCCAGAAAACTCAACCTTAATCTTCCCAGAGCCCTGTTGTCTCCAATATTGGAATCTCTAGCCTTGTTTTCTCAGACGCCTAGATTACAGGCCTCTCTCTTGAACACCTATTGGTATGGTATCTGGGGATCCTTTAAATACATGATGATTGGCAGGGGTTAAATAGCGGAAATCAGTGCCTGACAATTCGCCTTCCAGGATATGGACTGTCATTCCCTCTCTTGGTGGGCCTCAGTCTCTTATCCATAAAAGTAGAGATTGTAATACTCATTTGAAATGCAGATACCTCAACCCGAACCCACCTAATATAATGTAAAAGCCAAGAATGCAACCCCTTTCCTCACCCCGTGAAGGTAAAGCCCTCAGAGCCAAGGAGAGAAGGCTCAGGGATGGTATCTGGGTGTTTCCAACGCTAACCATGTATTGTAGTTTTTAGTGTTCAAGTTTAAGCTTCCCCAGCTTTAATTCTATTGTAACAAGATTTATTTTTTTAATTCCATTTTTGGATTCTTGATTTATTGGTAAAGAAATACAGTTATTTTTGTATACCAATCTTATATAGTGTTACATTCTTAAGTTTGTTCATGAGTCCTAATACTTTTTAGTAAATTTCTTACGATTTTCTAAATGCAAGATCATGTCATCTGTACATAAAGATAACTGTACTTCTTCCTTTCCAATCTAGATGTTGTTTATTTATTTACATTGCCAACTTGTCCCAGCTACCACTGTTATCAAGTAAAAGGGTCTCACTGCCCAAAGCACAAGAAGCCGGTACCATGACACTGAGTTTTCGAGAAAAGAAAAAGTTTAAAGTCAAACCAAAACCTAGGGTACAGGCCGGGCGCACTCGGTGAAACCCCGTCTCTACTAAAAATACAAAAAACAAAAATTAGCCGGGTGTGAAGGCAGGCGCCTGTAGTCCCAGCTACTCGGGAGGCTGAGGCGGGAGAATGGCGTGAACCTGGGAGGCGGAGCTTGCAGTCAGCCGAGATCGCGTCACTGCACTCCAGCCTGGGCAACAGAGCGAGACTCCGTCTCAAAAAAAAAAAAAAAAAAAAAAAAAAAAAAACCTATGGGATACAGTAAAAACAGTACTACAGTACTAAGAGGTAAGTTTATAGATAAAAGCACCTACATCAAAAAAAGTAGAAAAGCTTCAAATAAACAACCTAATAATGCATCTTAAATAATTAGAAAAGCAAGAGCAAGCCAAAACCAAAATTAGTAGAAGGAAACATAGCAAAGATCGGAGCAGAAATAAATGAAATTGAAATTTAAAAATATAAAATATCAATGAAATGAAAAGTTAATATTTTTAAAAGACCAACAAAATCAACAAACACTTAACCAGACTAAGAAAAAAGAGAGAAGATTCAAATACATAAAACCAGAGATTAAAAAGGAGACACTATAACTGATACTGTGGAAATTCAAAGAATCATTAGAAACTATTATGACCAACTATATTCCAATAAATTGAAAAACCTGGAAGAAATGGCTGGGCACCGTGGCTCATGCCTGTAATCCCAACACTTTGGGAAGCCAAGGCAGGTGATCACCTGAGGTCAGTAGTTCAAGACCAGCCTGGTCAACATGGTGAAACCCCATCTCTACTAAAAATACAAAAATTAGCCAGGCATGGTGGCATGCACCTGTACTTCCAGCTACTCTAGAGGCTGAGGCAGGAAAATCACTTGAACCTGGGAGGCAGAGGTTGCAGTGAGCTGAGATTGTACCACGCTGCAGTCTGGGTGACAGAGCAAGATTCCATCTCAAAAAAAAAAAAAAAACCTAGAAGAAATGGATAAATGAAATTGAAGCCGTAATAAAACATCTCCTAGCAAAGAAAAGCCTGGATTCAATGGCTTCACTGGCTTCACTGATTAATTTTACCAAACATTGAAGGCAGAATTACTATCAATCCTACTCAAACTATTCCAAAAAAACAGAGAAGGCTGTAGTATTTCCAAACTCATCCTATGAAAAAGACCATTCATCATGTCTAAGTGGGATTTATCCCAAGGATGCCAACATGGTTCAATGTATGCAAATCAATCAATGTGACACATCATATCAACAGAATGAAGGACAAAAACCATATGATAATTTCAATTGATGCTGAAAAGGATTTAATAAAATTCAACATCCCTGTGATAAAAAGAAACCCTCAAAAAAAAACTAGATATAGAAGGAACATACCACAACACAATGAAAACCATATGCAACAGACCCACAGCCAGTATCATCCTGGACAGGGAAAAGCTGAAAGCCTTTCTTCTAAGATCTGGAACAAGACAAGAATGTCCACTTCCAACACTGTTACTCAACATAGTACTGGAAGTCCTAGCTAGAGCAATTCAGACAAGAGAAAAACAATAAAAGGGATCCAAATTGGAAAGAAGTAAAATTATTACTGTTTCTTGTTTGCAGATGATTAGCTCTTATATTTGGAAAAACCTAAGGACTCCACCAAAAAACTATTAGAACTGATCAACAAATTCAGAGTCACAGCATACAAAATCAAACTACAAAAGTCAGTAGCATTTCTAAATGACAAAAATGAACAATCTAAAGAAGAAAATCAAGAATGTAATCCCATTTACAATAGCTACAAATAAAATAAAATAACTGGGAATAAACATAACAGAAGAAGTGAAAGATCTCTACAATGAAAACTATAAAACATAGATGCAAAAAAATTAAAGAGGACACCAAAAAAAAAATGGAAAGATAGTCCATGTTCATTTATTGGAAGAGTAAATATTGTTAAAATACCCATACTTCACAAAGCAATCTACAGATTCAATGCAATCCCTATTGAAATACTAATAACTTTCTTCACAGAAATAGAAAAAAAATCCTAAAATTTACATGAAACCATAAAAGACCCAGAATACCAAAAGCCATCCTGAGCAAAAAGAACAAAACTGGAAGAATCACATCACCTGACTTTAAATTATAGTACAGAGCAATTATAAACAAAACAGCATGGTACTGGCATAAAACAGACACATAGACCAATGGAACAGAATAGAGAACCCAGAAATAAATCCATACATTTACAATTAACTCATTTTCAATGAAGGTGCCAAGAATATACATGGGGGAGAGTACAGTCTCTTCAACAAATTGTGCTGGGAAAACTAGATATTCATTGGCAGATTTTTTTTTTTTTTGAGATGGAGTCTAGCTCTGTTGCTCAGGCTGGAGTGCAGTGGCGCGATCTGGGCTCACTGCAAGCTCCACCTCCCGGGTTCACACCATTCTCCTCCTCAGCCTCCCAAGTAGCTGGGAGTACAGGTGCCCACCACCACGCCTGGCTAATTTTTTTTTTGTACTTTTAGTAGTGACGGAGTTTCACCGTGTTAGCCAGGATGGTCTCGATCTCCTGCCCCCATGATCCGCCCACCTTGGCCTCCCAAAGTCATTGGCAGAATAGTTAAACTAGAACCCTCTCTTGCACTATATACAAAAATCAAATCCAAATGGGTTAAAGACTTAAATCAAAGACACGAAACTACTGAAAGAAAACATTAGGGAAACTCTCCAGGAAATTGGTCTTGGCACAGATTTCTTGAGTAATACTCCAAAAGCTCAGGCAACCAAAGCAAAAATGAACAAGTGGTATCACATCAAGTTCAAAAGTTTCTGCACAGTAAAGAAAACAATGGACAAAGTGAAAAGACAATCCACAGAATGGAAGAAAATATTTGCAAACTATATAACTGACAAGGGATTAATAACCAGAATATATAAGGAGCTCAAACAACTCTACAAGAAAAAAACTAACAATCCAATTATTTAAATAGGCAAAAGATCTGAACAGACAGTTCTCAAAAGAAGGCACACAGGTCAGGCGCAGTGGCTGACACATGTAATTCCAGAACTTTGGGGAGCCAAGACGGGTGGGCCACTTGAGCCCAGGAGTTCAAGACCAACCTGAACAACATAGCAAATAATTTTAAAAACTACCTGGGCATGGTGATGCATGACTGTGGTCCCAGCTACTCAGGAGGCTGAGGTGGGAGGATTGCTTGAACCCTGGCAGTCAACACTACATTAAGCCATGATCATACCACTGCACTCCAGCCTGGGTGACAGAGTGAGACCCTGTCTCAAAAAATGAGCAAAAACAAAAAAGAACATATATAAATGTCAAATAGGTATATGAAAAGATGCTCAATATCATTGATCATGACAGAAATTGAAATCAAAACTACAAAAATATATCATCTTACCCCATTAAAATGGCTTTTATGCAAAAGACAGGCAATAACAAATGCTTTCAAGAATTTGGGGAAAAGGGAACACTCTTACTCTGTTGGTGGGAATGTAAATTAATATATTCACTATGGAGAACAATATGGAGGTCCCTCAAAAAATTAAAAATAGAACTATCATATGATCCAGCAATCCCACTGCTGGGTATATACCCAAGAGAGGGAAAATTAGTATATCAAAGAGATATCTGCATTCCCATATTTATTTCAGCACTATTCATAATAGCCAAGATTTGGAAGCAACCTAAGTGTGCATCAACAGATGAAGGGATAAAGAAAATGTAGTACATATACACAATGGAGTACTCTTCGGCCATGAAAAAGAATAAGATTCTGTCATTTGCAACAACATGGATGGAACTAGAGGACAATTATGTTAAGTACAATGAGCCAGGCACAGAAAGACAGACTTCGCATGTTCTCACTCATTTGTGGGAGCTAAAAATTAAAACAATTGAACTCATCAAGATAGAGAGTAGACTGAGAGTTTCCAGAGGCTGGGAAGAGTAGCGGTGTTATGGGATCTTTGGGGTGTTACTTTTCTGGACAGAAACCTCTATGACTGGTGGCACCTTTGCCTGAGTTTTGCTGGGCCCCGCACACTCAGCCTGGCAGGCTGTGCTCTGCTCATGCTACCACGTTGGATCCCATGCCTGCCAAGGGAGACTGCATGGAGTGGCAAGGGGTGTGTGAGTGAGCATGGGGTCTGGCCACTGTGCAGTCAGATTTGCTGGCTGCTGAAGTGGAGCAGGTAGCTCCAGGTGCCAACACGGGCGCCAGCTCTCCACAAGGCTGTGGCTGGACCACGGGCACCTCAAGAAGCTTCCACAGCTGGCACACTGGGAACACAGTGGCACCCAGAAGCTTGGAGATATCAGGAACCAAAGACCCCAAAGAAGGAATCACAGCTCTGGCTCAGGGAGCTCCCAGGTCTGGGCTCCCCAAAGGGCCATAGCTCTTCTTTCCTTCTCTTTGCCCACAATGTGGCGAGCAAGGGGCATGTCTCAGCCCTGTTTGTGTTACAGCTCTTTCAGCCTCTTCCCTAGGATTTGTCATAATTAATTCCCATATCGTCTTATTTTTTTACACGTGTTTCAACTTCAGAAGATGTATGGATCTAAACACAACATGAAGTGTTAGCTAGCTGCCATATGAGTTTCTCCCTGTTTCACCACTATGTAGCCTAAAGTTATTCCGTCATCCATGACTATCCTGGCTAAAGAGTCTGAAGATCTTTATTTGGTAGCTATGGCTTCAGCTAGTTCATTTGCTAAGTTACCTAGAGTGGTTGACAGATTTCTAATTATACGTTCATGAGAGGTTACTCCCCACCATTGCAAGAGATTTCTGCCAAACATAGGCCAAAATTCATCTCCTTGGTTTGCAGGTATGGTTTGTCTAATCCTGGAAAATAATTTCGATGAACTACTTCAGCGTTCAGAAACATTGGAGTTATAAATAGGAAGAGGAAGAGCCACATAACCTAATAGACAATTACCTCTCATATGCCAGCGGTCAACACATTCATAAGCCCATGTGTGCTTGATCCAGGGACCACACAGGGTCCCTGACGGATTCTGAAATTTAAGGCTTTGGTTTACTGGTAACAGAGACAGGTTAAAGTACATGTCTTCAGTCTTGAGTAGAGTGCAATCAGTCTGATTTCTTTTTTTTTTTTAATGAGACAAACATCAGGTAAAGACCTTGACAAGAAGGAAGATAAATCCCGAGATTCTATAATCATAATAATCGAATTGTAATTGCTAGTTTAAGTAGTCCTACAAAAATACATCTCATTACTGACAGGATAAAACAAGTTTTTTAAAAATATATTTTATCTGGGTTCACTAGGGAACACTTGGAGCCAGAAAATAATTCAGGATTCAGCCCAAATTATAGGCAAATAATAAAAACTCGGAAAAGAATGATCAGGGCTGGAATCTAATAGCATATGTCACAGTTTTCATTTGAAACATGAATTTTGTCTCTCTAGTCCATCATTTTATCAAAGACAAACCATAGTAGGACAAATTTCTGTGCAAAATAAGTTTTAGTCTTATCATACCTGGTCTGATTATTTGCATAAAGTGCAGCAAGAATATTTATTGACCATATAGGCTTCTTAAAATTGGCTTTGTTGGAACTTTCTAATAAGGAATCTTAGACTTTTAAAAGCCTTGAGGCTAGCCAAGTCAAAGATTTGCATCATACTGTGTCTGTAATACTTTTTTTTAACCTACGTTTTTATTATACTTTAAGTTGTGGGGTACACGTGCAGAATGCTGAGGTTTGTTACATAGGTATACATGTGCTGTGGTGGTTTGCTGCACCCATCAACCCATCACCTATATTAGGTATTTGTCCTAATGCTATCCCTCCCCCCGCCCCCAACCCCCAACATGCCCCAGTGTGTGATGTTCCCCTCCCTGTGTGCTTGTGTTCTCGTTGTTCAACTCCCACTTATGAGTGAGAACATGTGGTGTTTTGTTTTCTATTCTTGTGTTAGTTTGCTGAGAATGAAGGTTTCCAGCTTCATCCATGTCCCTACAAAGGACATGAACTCATCCTTTTTTATGGCTGCATAGTATTCCATGGTGTATATGTGCCACATTTTCTTTATCCAGTCTATAATTGATGGGCATTTGGGTTGGTTCCAAGTTTTTGTTATTGTGAACAGTCCTGCAATAAACATACGTGTGCATGTGTCTTTATGGTAGAATGATTTATAATCCTTTGGGTATATACCCAGTAATGGGATTGCTGGGCCAAATGGCATTTCTAGTTCTAGATCCTTGAGGAATAGCCACACTGTCTTCCACAATGGTTGAACTAATTTACACTCCCACCAACAGTGTAAAAGCCTTCCTATTTCTCCACATCCTCTCCAGTATCTTTTGTTTCCTGACTTTTTAATGATTGCCATTCTAACTGGCATGAGATGGCATCTCATTGTGGTTTTGATTTGCATTTCTCTAATGACTAGTGATGATGAGCTTTTTTTCATATGTTTCTTGGTTGCATAATTGTCCTCTTTTAAGAAGTGTCTGTTCACATCCTTTGCCCACTTTTTGATGGGATTGTTCTTTCTTATAAATTTGTTTAAGTTCTTTGTAGATTCTGGATATTAGGTCTTTGTCAGATGGATAGATTGCAAAAATTTTCTCCCATTTCGTAGGTTGCCCTTTCACTCTCATAGTTTCTTTTGCTGTCCAGAAACTCTTTAGTTTAATTAGGTCCCATTTGTCAATTTTGGTTTTTGTTGCCATTGTTTTTGGTGTTTTAGTCATGAAGTCTTTGCCCATGCCTATGTCCTGAATGGTATTGCCTAGGTTTTCCTCTAGGGTTTTTACGGCTTTAGGTATTAGGTTTAAGTCTTTAATTCATCTTGAGTTAATTTTTATATAAGGTGTAAGGAAGGGATCCAGTTTCAGCTTTCTGCCTAAGGCTAGCCAGTTTTCCCAACATCATTTATTAAATAGGGAATCCTTTCCTCAGTGCTTGTTTTTCTCAGGTTTGTCAAAGATCAGATGGTTGTAGATATGTGGTGTTATTTCTGAGGGTTCGGTTCTGTTCCTTTGATCTATATATCTGTTTTGGTACCAGTACCATGCTCTTTTGTTTATCATAGCCTTGTAGTATAGTTTGAAGTCAGGTAGCATGATGCTTGAAGCTTTGTTCTTTTTGCTTAGGATTGTCTTGGCTATTCGGGCTCTTTTTTGATTCCATATGGAATTTAAAATATATTTTTCCAATTCTGTGGAGAAAGTCAATAGAGTTTAATGGGGATAGCAGTGAATCTATAAATTACTTTGGGTAGTATGGCCATTTTCACGATATTGATTCTTCCTATTGATGAGCATGGAATGTTTTTCCATTTGTTTGTGTCCTCTCTTGTTTCCTTGAGGAGTGGTTTATAGTTCTCCTTGAAGAGGTCCTTCACATCCTTGTAAGTTGTATTCCTAGGTATTTCATTCTTGTTGTAGCAATGGAGAATGGGAGTTCACTCATAGTTTGGCTCTCTGTTTGTCTGTTATTGGTGTATAAGAAAGCTTGTGATTTTTGCACATTAATTTTGTATCCTGAAACTTTGCTGAAGTTGCTTATCAGCTTAAGGAGATTTTGGGCTGAGACGATGGGGTTTTCTAAATATATAATCATGTTATCTGCAAACAGAGACAATTTGACTTCTTCTTTTCCTAATTGAACACCCTGTATTTCTTTCTCTTGCCTGATTACCCTGGCCAGAACTTCCAACACTATGTGGAATAGGAGTAGTGAGAGAGGGCATCCTTGTCTTGTGCTGATTTTCAAAGGGAATGCTTCCAGTTTTTGCACATTCAGTATGTTATTGGCTGTGGGTTTGCCATAAATAGCACTTAATATTTTGAGATACGTTCCATCAATACCAGTTTATTGAGAATTTTTAGCATGAAGGGCTGTTGAATTTTGTCAAAGGCCTTTTCTGCATCTATTGAGATAATCATGTAGTTTTTGTCATTGATTCCGTTTATGTGAGGGATTACATTTATTGATTTGCATGTTGAACCAGCCTTGCATCCCAGGGATGAAGCCAACTTGGTCATGGTGGACAAGCTTTTTGATGTGCTGCTGGATTCAGTTTTCCAGTATTTTATTCAGGATTTCTGCATTGATGTTCATCAGGGATATTGGCCTAAAATTTCCTTTTTTTGTTGTGTTGGCCTCATAAAATGAGTTAGGGAGGATTCTCTTTTTCTATTGTTTGGAATAGTTTCAGAAGGAATGGTACCAGCTCCTCTTTGTACCTCTGGTAGAATTTGGCTGTGAATCCGTCTGGTCCTGGACTTTTTTTGGTTCGTAGGCTATTGATTAATGCCTCAATTTCAGAACTTGTTATTGGTCTATTCAGGAATTTGACTTCTTCCTGGTTTAGTCTTTGTAGTATTCTCTGATGATAATTTGTATTTCTGTGGGATCAGTGGTGATATCCCCTTAATCATTTTTTATTGCATCTATTTGATTCTTCTGTCTTTTCTTCTTTATTAGTCTGGCTAGTGGTCTGTTTTGTTGATCTTTTCGAAAAACCAGCTCCTGGATTCATTGATGTTTTGAAGGGTTTTTCATGTCTCTATCTCATTCAATTCTGCTCTGATCTTATTTATGTCTTGTCATCTCCTAGCTTTTGAATTTGTTTGTTCTTTCTTCTCTAGTTCTTTTAATTTTGATGTTAAGGTGTCAATTTTAGATCTTTCCTGCTTTCTCTTGTGGGCATTTAGTGCTATAAATTTCCCTCTACACACTGCTTTAAATGTGTCCCAGAGATTCTGGTACGTTGTGTCTTTGTTCTCATTGGTTTTGAAGAACATCTTTATTTCTGCCTTCATTTCGTTATTTACCCAGTAGTCATTCAGGAGCAGGTTGCCCAGTTTCCATGTAGTTGTGAGGTTTTGAGTGAGTTTCTTAATCCTGAATACTAATTTGAATGCATTGTGGTCTGAGAGACTGTTTGTTATGATTTCCATTCTTTTGCATTTCCTGAGGAGTGTTTTACTTCCAATTATGTGGTCAATTTTAGAATAAGTACAATGCGGTGCTGAGAAGAAGGTAAATTCTGTTGATTTGGGGTGGAGAGTTCTGTAGATATCTTTTAGGTCCACTTGGTCCAGAGCTGAGTTCAAGTCCTGGATATTCTTGTTAATTTTCTGTCTCATCTATCTAATATTGACAGTGGAGTGTTAAAGTCTCCCACTATTATTGTGTGGGAGCCTAAGTCTCTTTGTAGGTCTTTAAGAACTTGCTTTATGAATCTGAGTGCTCCTGTATTGGGTGCATATATGTCTAGGATAGTTAGCTCTTCTTGTTGCATTGATCCCTTTACCATTATGTAATGCCCTTCTTTGTCTCTTTTTATCTTTGTTGGCTTAAGATCTGTTTTATCAGAAACTAGGATTGCAACCCCTGCCTTTTGTTGCTTTCCACTTGCTTGGTAAATGTTTCTTCATCCCTTTATTTTGAGCCTATGTGTATGAGATGGGTCTCCTGAATACAACACATTGATGGGTCTTGACTCTTTATCCAATTTGCCAGACTGTGTCTTTCAACTGGGGACATTTAGCTCATTTACATTTAAGGTTAATATTGTTATGTGTGAATTTGATCCTGTCATTATGATACTAGCTGGTTATTTTGCTCATTAGTTGATGCAGTTTTTTCATTGTGTCAATGGTCTTTATAATTTGGTATGTTTTTGCAGTGGCTGTTACCAGTTGTTCCTTTCCGTGTTTAGTGCTTCCTTCAGGAACTCTTGTAAGGCAGTCCTGGTGGTGACAATATCTCTCAGCATTTGCTTGTAAAGGATTTTATTTCTCCTTCAATTATGAAGCTTAGTTTGGCTGGATATGAAATTCTGGCTTGAAAATTCTTTTCTTTAGGAATGTCGTATATTGGCCCCCACTCTCTTCTGGCTTGTAGGCTATCTGCCAAGAGATCCACTGTTAGTCTGATGGGCTTCCCTTTGTTGGTAACTCAACCTTTCTCTCTGGCTGCCCTTAATATTTTTTCCTTCATTTCAACCTTGATGAATCTGATGATTTTGTGTCTTGGGGTTGCTCTTCTTGAGGAGTATCTTAGTGGTGTTCTCTGTATTTCCTGAATTTGAATGTTGGCCTGTCTTGCTAGGTTAGGGAAGTTCTCCTGAATAATATCCTTAAGAGTTTTTTCCAACTTGGTTCCATTCTTTCTGTCACTTTCAGGTACACCAATCAAACGTAGATTCAGACTTTTAACATAGTCCTCTATTTCTTGGAGGCTTTGTTCATTTCTTTTCACTCTTTTTTCTCTAATCTTGTCTTCTTGCTTTATTTCATTGAGTTGATCTTCAATCTCTGATATCCTTTCTCCTGCTTGATTGATTCAGCTATTGATACTTGTGTATGCTTCATGAAGTTCTTGTGCTGGGTTTTTCAGCTCCATCAGGTCATTTATATTCTTCTCTAAACTGGTTATTCTAGTTAACAATTCGTCTAACCTTTATTTTTCAGGCTCTTAGCTTCCTTGCATTGGGTTAGAACATGCTCCTTTAGCTCGGAGGAGTTTGTTATTACCCGCCTTCTGAAGCCTACTTCTGTCAATTCATCAAACTCACTGTCTGTCCAGTTTTGTTCCCTTGCTGGCGGGGAGTTGTGATCTTCTGGAGGAGAAGAGGCATTCTGACTTTTGGAGTTTTCAGCATTTTTGCACTGGTTTCTCCCCATCTTTGTGGATTTATTTACCTTTGGTCTTTGATGTTGGTGATGTCGATACTATTCCTTTCTGTTTGTTAGTTTTCCTTCTAACAGTCAGGTCCCTCTGCTGCAGGTTTGCTCGAGTTTGCTGGAGGTCCACTCCAGACCCTGTTTTCCTGGGTATCACCAGTGGAGGCTCAGTTGGAAATGCATGAACCACCTGACTTCTGTGTTGATCTCACTGGGTGCTGCAGGCCGGAGCTGTTCCTATTCAGACATCTTGCCAGCTCTCCTGTAATACTTTAATGAATAGGTGTAGTCCTCTCTTCTCAAGGTCCCCAAATATCTTGAGGTTCCTGGCCCATCAGAAAGTGACATTCTTTATTTCTTACCACAAGAATAGCAACTTTGTAAAGGACCTTTGTATACAGGACATCAAGCCAGTCATTCTAAGGGGCTTTGTATTGGTGCTATAAAGTCAACCTCAATTCCTTAAAGTGGTCTGGTTGTATCTGCCATTCGAGTTAAAGCCTTGATAAAACAAACAGTGTCTCCAATTGAATCTTGTTACCAAAAACAGATTCTTATTGAAATTATGCAAATAATTATATTGCCATAATTTAAGAATGCTCACGAATGGCTTCTGAATTCTGGAGAAATCAGCTAGAGAGACAGATAAATGGCTCAAATTTTTGTTCACAATGTAGTTTATCTAATGTATTGTAAGTTAAAAATAGCTGAAAAGAAAAAAAATTATTGACTTTGGAAAACAAAACATAAAGAGGATCAACAATGTTTCTAATGGGAGGGCCATGGATAAAATCTTTTCCTTCTTTTATAAGTTCACTCCCATGTAACTAAATCTTGTTCTGCTTGATTTCAAATAGCAATTCTCATTCAGTTTTTTGTGTTTTGCTTGATTTCAATTAGAAATTCTCATTCAGCTTTTTAGAGTCCTGGAAGATTTTCCTAGTCCAATGGTTTGATCCCCAAAGTTATCTGAAACCATATTTAAGAGAACTTGTCAGAATCCTTTCCATTAAAAGTAATTTAGATGATAGCTGATTGTAAAGGCTTTTTTTTTTGAGACACGGTCTGGCTCTATCACTCAGGATGGAGTGCAGTGGCATGATCTTGGTTCACTGCAATCTCTCCCTCCCAAACTCAAGCCATCCTCCTACCTCACCCTCCGAAGTAGCTGGGACCATAGGCATGCACCATCATGCCTGGCTAATTTTTGTATTTTTGTAGAGATGGGATTTTGCCATATTGCCTAGGCTGCTTTCAAACTTCTTAGTTTAAGCAATTCACCCACCTCAGCCTTGCAAAGTGCTGGGATATTTACACGCATGAGCCTCCATGCCCTGCACCATGCCCAGCACCGTGCCCTGCATGGCCTCCAGCACTGTGCCCGGCCTGTAAAGGGTTTTAGAGAAGAACTTTAATCAATCACCGTGGATGACAAAAACTTAGAATAGCCGTTGGTTAAAATCCAGTGGAAGTTCTCAAATCTCGAGAAAATTTAGTTATTTGTATTATATGTAGCATTTTAAGATAACAGCCAGAATCATGACTGATGGCAACACATCAGATCCATCAGACTTCCACAAATTTTATATAATCTTTAGAATATTTATATTAATAATATATCTATACACATACAACTTTAGAAAATATTTAACATCATCAAAATTATGACTGAAACCCTATTAGATTTTTATAATTTATATAACTTTTAAAATATTTATATTAATAACATACCTATAAATGTAACCAAAAGAAGATTTAAGCTGGGCACAGTGGCTCATGCCTGTAATCCCAACACTTTGGGAGGCCAAGTTGGACAGATCATCAGAGGTCAGGAGTTCGACACCTGCCTGGCCAACATGGAGAAATCTTGTCTCTACTAAAAATACAAAATTAGCCGGGTATGGTGGCACTTGTCTGTAGTCCCAGCTACTTGGGAGGTTGAGGCAGAAGAATTGCTTGAACCTTGGGGCAGAATTTGCAGTGAAACTAGATCATGCTACAGCACTCCAGCCTGGGTGACAAAGCAAAATTCTGTCTCAGAGAAAAAAAAAAAGAAGATTTAGTGTTACTTATCTTTTGGCAATGCTTCCCATACAATGTTATCAACTAAGTTTTAGCAAAGATGTCAAAAAATTGAAAACATTTGACCAAAACGGAATGGCAGTTTATTGTTTTTTATTTTATTATTTTTTTGAGACAGGGTCTCACCCTGTTGCCCAGGCTGGAGTGCAGTGGTGAAATCATGGCTCACTGCAGCCTCAACCTCCCAGGCTCAGGTGATCCTCCACCTTAGTCTCCCAAGTAGCCAGGACTATGAGCACTTGCTACCACACCTAGCTAGCTTTTGTATTTTTAGTAGATATGGGGTTTTGCCATTTTGCCCAGGCTGGACTTGAACTCCTGGGCTCAAGTGATCCACCCACCTTGGCCTCCCAAAGGGCTGGAATTACAGACAAGAGCCGCTGCACACAGCCACATGTCATTTTTAAATAACATTCA
The DNA here is from genome assembly GCF_000001405.40 of Homo sapiens. Taxonomy (NCBI): domain Eukaryota; kingdom Metazoa; phylum Chordata; class Mammalia; order Primates; family Hominidae; genus Homo; species Homo sapiens. The sequence goes on from NT_187513.1 coordinate 125,718, forward strand.
TTTAATTAACATGACAACCAAAAGACATCAAAAGCAACATAGAAGGTTACATGGATGTGAAAACTGAAAACCCTCAGTTTTCCCAAGTAATTAAAAAAACAATAAAGGCAACACATGGATTATCTTGATAAAACCTAAAATCTTTATTACAGGCCAGTCATTTAAAGGGTAAAAGCTCCTGTGGCATAATTGTGTCTTCTTATGGGAAGCTAATTTAAATCACTTGGAAGTCAAACCGATGACACGGAGACTTGAATTTAATTAGACATAGAAAGAGTGTGTCCACGGTCATGAGTGAGCATAATATTACAGAGGAATGTAAACAGGAAAACCAGAGCATAGAGCAGTGGGGATCCATAGCTCACAATGATAGCATGGAAGTTTCCTGCTGTATCCTGGTTACATGAAGTAATTAAGACATATTTAAAGGCCAAGAGTACAAAATTAGACCTGATGAAAAAGCTGAAGGAGTTATCATCCCAGCCAAGCAGGAAACCCAAGCCTTTTATTCCTTCTCAAGAAGAAACAGAAGACAATGATGTGATCTGTGAGTCATGTGTAACATGAAAGTACAGGAAACGTTGAACTTCTGATATACAAATCTGAAAAAATTTTATAGTAACAGATATCAGGATTAAAAGTCAATATTTATTACCTCTTATTATGAGCAAATAAATGCATTAAGAAAACCTTGTTGTTTTAACCAAATTTTTTTGTTTTTTATCACTATGTTTTTAATATTACAGCTAATTTAAATAAACTTTATAAACAATCTATCTGATCTCAATCAGTTTTGACCTCGAGGTAAGATTTACATAAACTTTTAATAACCTTGTATAATTTTTTCCATCTTTCCCAACTTTTTATACACATTTAGTTTTATCTATCTTTTTTATTCCTTCAATTTAAAATAATCCTTAAAAATCTCTAAGCGAATTTACTTTCTCTGAAACAAAAACCCGTATAGATTTTGCATACAGAATTGTTTCTCTTGTATCTAGTAGTCTTAATCACATATATCTACCAAGATATTAACACTTAGTAACCCTTATTTTAATAAAAAACTTAGGAAGAAAGAAATCTTGAATTGTCATATAGCAGTATCTTACATATGAGAATGATTTCATAATTTAGAATTATGTGTTCCTAAAACATATTTTTTAAGGTGGATTTTCGCTCTTGTTGCCCAGGCTGTAGTGCAATGGTGTGATCTCAGCTCACTGCAACCTCCGTCCCCCAGGTTCAAGCAATTCTCCTGCCTCAGCCTCTCGAGTAGCTGGGATTACAGGAACCCACCACCACACCTGGCTAATTTTTTGTAGTTTTTAGTAGAGATGGGGTTTCACCATGTTGATCAGGCTGGTCTTGAGCTCCTGACCTCAGGTGAGCCACCCGCCTTGGCCTTCCAAAGTGTTGGGATTACAGGCATGAGCCATAGTGCCTGGGCTAAAACATAAGTTTTAAATTGGAAATAACCCAGATATTTAATGAGTATCTATTATTTAATTTAACATAACTAAAATTTCAAAAATAGGCTGGGCATGGTGGCTCACACCTGTAATTCCAACACTTTAGGAGGCCAAGGCAGGAGTATCGTGAGACCAGCCTGAGCAAATAGCGAGATGCTGACTCTACAAAAAAAATAAAAGTTAGCTGACCATGGTGTTGCATGCCTGTAATTAACAACTTCTTGGGAGGTTGAGGTGGGAGGATCCCTTGAGTGCAGGAGGTCAAGGTTGCAATGAGCTGTGATCATGCCACTGCACTTCAGCCTGGGTGACAGGCAGAGACATTGGCTCAAAAAAATTTCAAAAATACATTAAAATGTCTTGTATAGACATTTATCCATTTACATTTACTTATTTTTGACAGTTTATCTAGAGTATTTGTGAGAACTGAGGTATTAGACAAAGCTAGTCATCATTTCTAGGTTATTTTCTTGTTAACCATGTTATAGCCTGTGAATATCAGGTGTTCACATAAGTGAGGATTTCAAAGTTAAATACAAGGGTATTTTACCAATAACTCAGAAAATTCCATTATTTTTGTTCAACAAACCGTATTAAATTGGTCTTATGTATTTAAAAAATCACATAAACAAATATTCTTTTTTTCCTGTGTTTATAGCTTTATAACCTTCATGCCAAACCCTAGCACCTTAAAATACCTAGCAAATGTAAATATAAAACACAGTCAAAAATGTATGCTGACAATTCTGAAGACATTTCTATTTTTATTTTATCAATACTTTTTAAATTATTTGCATTTATAAAAGAACTCTTTTGTCTGGGCACAGTGGTTCATGCCTGTATCCCAGCACTTTGAGAGGCTGAGGCAAGAGGATCACTTGAGCTCAGGAGTTTGAGACCAGCCTGGGCAACAGAGTGAGATCCAATCTCTACTAAGAATAAGATAAAAAATTGCCAGGCATGGTGGTGCATGCCTATTGTCCCAGCTACTAGAGAGGATGAGGCAGGAGGATTGCTTGAGCCTGGGAGGTTGAGATAACAGTGAGCTATGATCCCACTACTGCACTCCAGTCTGGGGAACAGAGTAAGACCTTAGAGTAAGACCTTGTCTCAAAAAGAGAAAAAAATAAAAAATTGTTTCATTCTTTTGTTTTTCTTCAGCCAAGTAACCTTGAATTGGTAACACCACAGACAGTAAGTCTTATCTCAACACCAGTAGACAAATCAGCAGATTCAAAGTAGGCAGGGAAAAAAAAAAAGATAGGCAAAAGAACTGAGACTTTTTCATTTTAGGGTTTTTAAAAATAGTAACTATTTGAGTTCTGAATTTTCTTTCATGTAATTTGGCCGTCAGGTTTAAAGTGTGCACTAGAGACCAGGTGCAGTGGCTCATTCATGTAATCCCAACACTACGGGAGGCTGAGGCAGGTGGATCACTTGAGGCCAGGAGTTTGAGACCAGCCTGGCCAACGTGACAAAACCCCATCTCTATTGAAAATACAAAAATTAACTGGGTGTGGTGGTGTGCACCTGTAGTCCTAGCTATTCAGGAGGCTGAGGCAGGATAATCGCTCAAACCTGGGAGGTGGAGGTTGCAGTGAGCCGCGATTGTACCACCATACTCCATCCTGGGCAACAGAGCAAGACTGTGTGTCAAAAAGAAAAAGAAAAAAAATATAAATATAAATATATAAATATAAATATAAATATATATATATATATATATATATATATATATATATATATATATAGGCTGGGCACAGTGGCTCATGCCTGTAATCCCAGCATTTTGGGAGGCCAAGGTGGGTGGATCACTTGAGATCAGGAGTTTGAGACCAGCCTGGTCAACATAGTGAAACCTCATCTCTACTAAAACCACAAAAATTAGCCGGGTATGTTGGCGTACACCTGTAATCGCAGCTACTCAGGAGGCTGAGACAGGAGAATTGCTCGAACCTGGGAAGTGGAGGTTGCAGTGAGCCAAGAGCGCACCACTGCACTCCAGCGTGGGCAACAGAGCAAGACTCTGTCTCAAAAAAGTGTGTGTGTGTGTGTGTGTGTGTGTGTGGCTAGAATGGTCCATAATATATAGCCAGCTCGAGTCCCAGAAAACCTAGCAAGCTAAAGGTTAGAGCTTCTCATTTTGGCCTTTTCAAGATTAAATCTCCTTTAGTAAGCCCTTCCCCTCTAGGGAGGTACTTGCCGGAGCGCTGCCTGAAGTTGGTTTTCTGATGCCCTGTTGTACCTGATCTGAATAGTTTATTTCTCATTATAAGAGCTCAGCAAAGCAGGCAGAGTTAAAAAGCAGAGACATGAAGGCTTTAAAATCATGGACTTCACTCCTACACTGAATCTCAGGTCCCCGGAAAGACAGAAACACCATGGGACCACAGCAAAGGCAGAAGGAGGAGTGAGAGAGGGAGGTGGACAGAACAACAAACAGGAGTTGGCTCTCAATTTTTCACGTGTGCCATTTTCTTTAGGTTTTTCTAGTTTATTGAGTCTCTTTGTTCCAATTGAGCACACAGATAAACTAGAAATCTCACAAGGCTTTTGCTGAGAACATCAAAGCCTTTAACCTCTGTTGGGCCAAATATTTAGACCAAAAATACAGATAGACACACAAAAGCCAGAACCAGACCAGATTGAGTAGCTCAGTAGCTACAGCCTTTATTCCCTTTATTCTTTAGGGTTCGAACTCAAACGAGATTCAGGATTCTAACCCAACCAGGACCCCCCTGGGGTGAAACTGAAACCCCACAGTCTAGACAAGGTTGGGGGTCTTTTTTTATTTTTTATTTTTTTGAGATGGAGTTTCACTCTTGTTGCCCAGGCTGGAGTGCAATGGTGCAATATTGCCTCACAGCAACCTCCCCCTCTCAGGTTTAAGCACTTATCCTGCCTCAGCCTCCAAAGCTGAGATTACAGGCTTGTGCCACCATGCCCAGCACATTTTGCATTTTTAGTAGAGACGGGGTTTCTCCATGTTGGTCAGGCTGGTCTCAAACTCCCAACCTCGGGTGATCCGCACACCGAAGCCTCCCAAAGTGTTGACATTACAGGCATGAGCCACCGCGCCCGGCCTGCTTGTTCTTTTCATTTCATCCTGATCTCCGAATACAGGAGAGTAGCTGATTTGGTGTTCACTAACAAGCACAGAAGCTTTGTTACATTTACAGTGTCATTCTTGGCAAAACCTGAAGTTTTGCCTCCCGGGTTCATGCCATTCTCCTGCCTCAGCCTCCTGAGTAGCTGGGACTATAGGCGCCCGCCACCTCACCCAGCTAATTTTTTGTATTTTTAGTAGAGACGGGGTTTCACCGTGTTAACCAGGATGGTCTCGATCTCCTGACCTTGTGATCTGCCCACCTCGGCCTCCCAGAGTGCTGGGATTACAGGCGTGAGCCACCGTGCCCAGCCAGAAGCTCTAATTTCAATGATGATTGTGCTTTTTATCTCTTCCTCAGCATCTGACTCATGATAAAATTTCAGGTGTCTTGATGGTATCTAAATCAGTTGTTGATTCAGTCCTGGAGAAACACAAGCATAATCTCTATGCCAAGTTATAATTTTACCTATTTCCCAACTTTTTGTTATTGGATCTCTCCACCAAACCAGTTGTTCTGCTTCTCTCTTTGCAGCTAGTTTCTGTAGATGCTGTTCAGCTGCTGGTAACATCTGGCCTTTGGGCAGGCTCAAAAATTTGAAAGTTAATAATGATAGATTCAATTGTGTATGGGCTACCCGTAATCCCTGTTTCTCCCCCTTTTTTTGTTTTTATTATCAGTTGTTCATCTGTATGAAATCGTAACTGAGCATTTTCAATTAACTGTGTGGAATGAACCATGTATGAAGAATCAGAAATCACATTAACAGGCATATCAAAAGCAGTCAATACCTCAATTACAGCTACAAGCTCCGCTTTTTGAGCTGAAGTATAGGGTGTCTGGAAAACTTTACCTTTTGATCCAGAATAAGAAGCTTTACCATTACTAGACCCATCTGTGAAACAACGAAAACGCTTAGCAGGCTGCAGGTTGTTTACTGCAGGAATTGTAAATGCAAACCGTTCACAGTCTTGCTCAGCTAAAAGGGTAGTAAAGTAACAGTCTTTTAAATCTGTGACTATTAAAGGCCAATTTTTTGGAATTATAGTAGGAGAAGGCAATCCTGGCTGTTATGTTTCCATAGGTTGTATAACTGAATTGATGGCTCTTAAGTCAGTTAACATTCTCCATTTACCTGATTTTTTCTTAATTATGAACACTGGAGAATTCCAAGGGGAAAATGTTGGAGCTATGTGCCCATTTTCTAATTGTTCAGTAACTAATTTCTCTAAAGCATCCAGTTTCTCTTTGCTTAGCAGCCATTATTCTATCCAAATTGGCTTATCTGTTAACCATTTTAAAGGTATAGGTTCTGGAGGCTTAACAGTGGCCACCATCAAAAATGGTATCCTAATCTTTGGCAGGAACTTTGTCTTTCCGTTTGAAGCAGTTCTTTCAAACCTTGCAATTTTTTTCTACTCCTATACCAGGGACATGCCCCATTTCGTGCATCATATGTTGACTTTGAGGGCTGTATAATTGCTATGGAATTAGAACTTGTGCTCCCCATTGTCATAATAAATCTCTCCCCCATAAATTTATAGGTACAGAAGTTGCAATTGGTTGAACAGTCCCAGGTTGTCCATCGGTCCCTTCACAATGCAAAATATAGCTACTTTGATACACTTCTGGGGCTTTAGCAGTTTCCACTGTGTTAAATTGAGTGGGCTGAATTGGCCACATGGACGGCCAGTGCTGTAGAGAAATGATTGAAATGTCCACTCCTACCAAAAAAAAAAAAAATTGTATCTACCAAACCTTTAAAGTTCTTTCCCTGGATAGTTATTTCACAGATAGGATGTTTATCAGTAATTTGATTTACCCAATAAGCTGCCTTGCCTTTTTTATTTGTGCTTCCAAATCCTCCAGTTCATTTAATTTCACTTTTTCCCATTCCCACATACTTCACACTCAGGAGCTGTGCTATGCCCACTCCTGGCTGTGCTTTCCAGGGAAAAGAAGTAGATATCACAATTTGAATTTCCTCATTGTAATCTGAATCAATGACTCCAGTGTGTATTTGTACCCCTTTTAAACTTAAACTAGACCTTCCTAAAAGTAATCCCATTGTCCCTCCTGGCAACGGTCCACAGACTCCTGTTGGAACCTTTTGCGGGGGTTCCCCAGGCAGAAGGCTCACAGCTTTTGTGCAGCATAAGTCTACTGCGACACTATGGGCTATGGTGGGGGACAGATAATGTACGGGTGTGAGGGAATGGCCTGAGCTAGAAATGCCCTGGTTTAGAACAGGGCCTGGGATGGGCCCCCCAGGGAGTTTCCCGAAATCGGGTTCCCTTGTTTATCAAACTTAGAGTGACACTGATTAGCCCAAAGTTTTCCTTTTTTACATTTTGGAAATATTTCAGGATCAGCAGTTTTCTTTTTTCCTCTATCTGGTGACCTGACTCGCTGATTTTTTTTCTACATTCTTTTTAGTATGACCATGCTTCCCACAGTTAAAACAAGCTACAGGAAATGGAGTATTTCCTTTATCCACTCTCAGTCCTGCCATTGCCTGTGCCAACAAAGTAGCTTTATGTAGATTACCTCTGATATCATCACAGCCGTTGATATAATCAACTAAATGTGCTTTCCCTCTGATAGGTCACAGAACAGCCTGGCAATAGGGATTAGCATTGTCAAAAGCTAATAACTGCAACACTATATCCTAAGCAGCCAAATCTGCAATCATCTTTTTAAGAGACTCCTGTAACCAAACTATAAAATCCACATATGGTTCTCTTGGTCCCTGTTTTATAGCACTAAAGGAATGGTATTGTTCTCCACATGAAGTGATTTTTTCCAAGCTCTAATGCACACTCCACTAAGCTGTTCTATGGCATCATCTTGCATGACCACTTGTACATGTAAACCAGCTCAGAAACCAACCCCTAAAAGTTGGTCTGCAGTTATATTAATTTGAGGTTGGGCCCAGGTATTGTGAGCAGCCTGAATGGAAGCTTCATCTGCCCACTAAGTTTTAAAGTGTAAGAAGTGAGCAGGAGTTGACAAGCTCGAGTAATAGTGTCCCAGTCAGTAGGAATCATCCGACTGGAAACAGCAACATTCTTTAACGGTCCCATTTCAAAAGGAGAACCTGGTCCATACTGATTTATAGCTTGTTTAAATTTTTTGAGTAATTTAAAAGGAAAAGGCTCAAATGTAGCTATAATATTTCCCTGTTGATCTGGGGGGTGTATTCTAACAGGGAGCTGCCAAGCCTCTAAATCCCACTTTTGTTTTGCTTGCTGTATTCCTGCCTGAATAGAACTAAGAGCAGTCGCTCAAGGCGCTGCTCGAACAGTCACCAGGGCAACTACTTTTCACCCAGTGTCCTCCAGAAAAGAAAGATCTGGTGGGTCGTTTTCTTCAAAATAATAATGAGGGGGTGCAGAAGGGTAGGGATGAACCTCTCCCTCCTTTTCTGCTTTAGCTTTAGGTGGCAAATAAACCTGGTCTGTAACCTCTACTGTTACTTTGTTATACTCTCCTTCCTCCTCATCATCAGTGTGAAAAAGTTCCAAGGTAGAATGAACCACAGCCCACACTTGTCCCATTGTTACCCTGATGCTTCCGAGCTCCCCTTCTTACTCACCACGGGGATTGCTTTAAGAGTACTCAGGTGTCCTCCAGCTAGTTCCACATTCTCCAATCGTTGCTCCAGCGATCCTTTGACCTGTATTCGAGCCCCCATGAATGGGCACCACTTGCTGAGACCAGGTCGGTCGGGGAGACCCTAATCCAGCAGCGCTAGAGGAATTAAAGACATACACACTGAAATATAGAGGTGTGAAGTGGGAAATCAGGGGTCTCACATCCTTCAGAGCTGAGAGTCCTGAACAGAGTTTTACCCACGTGTTTATTAACAGCAAGCCAGTCATTAGCATTGTTTCTATAGATATTAGATTAACTAAAATTATCCCTTATGGGAAACGAAGGGATGCGCTGAATTAAAGGAATAGGTTGGGCTAGTTAACCGCAGCAGAAGCATGTTCTTAAGGCACAGATCACTCATGCTATTGTTTGTGGCTTAAGAATGCCTTTAAGTGGTTTTCCACCCTGGACGGGCCAGGTATTCCTTGTCCTCATTCCGATAAACACACAATCTTCCAGCGTGGGTGTTACGGCCATCATGAACATGTCACAGTACTGCAGAGATTTTGTTTATGACCAGTTTTGGGGCCAGTTTAAGGCCGGATATGAGGGGGCTTGTTCCCAACAGTTCCTCAGGGTAAGGGTGCCGTAACTCCTGTGGGGACCTCCTTTGGTGGCTCCCCAGGAAGTAAGGAGATGGGAATTGTTCTGTAGAGGTCTACAGCAGCACTGCTTGCTGAGGCGGGGGACAATTGTTGTACATTTGTAAGGGCAGTGGCTGTGCTGGGTATGCCTCGGTTTGTTGTGGGGCTCGAGGCAGGTCCCTCTTCCTATTTCCTGAAAGAGGTTGTCCATCTTTGCTAAATTTAGAATGACACGGACTTGCCTAGTGATTGCCTTTCTTACACCAGGGACATACACTGGGACTTTTCTGTTGATTGATGGTAGTAGTTTTCATCTTTTGAATTCCTTTCTGCATTCCTTTCTTGTGTCCAATTTGCCCACAATTAAGGCAAGAGCCTGAGAAATGAAGCATATTTTTTCTTACTCTTAATCTAGCCATAGCCTGAGCTAAAAGAATGGCCTTATGTAAATTACCTCCAATGCCATCGCAAGCCTTAATATATTTAGTTAAATGAGCCCTCTCTCTCAGGGATCTAATAGCAGTTTGACACTCTGCATTAGCATTATTGTATGCAAGAAGCTGTATTACAACATCCTGAGCTGTTTTGATCATTTACGGCTTTATACACAGCCTCTTGGAGCTGAGCAATAAAATTAATATATGGTTCTTTAGGTTCTTGTCAGACAGAACTGAAATAAGGATACTTTTCCCCTGTAACATTTATCCTTTTCTATGCCTGTAAGCACATGAAGCACAGCTGAACAATGGCAACATCTTCCATTACTGCTTGATTCTCTAATCAAACCCAGTTAGGGCCAACTCATATTAACTGATCAAAGAAAACAGGCACAGGTGGCTGCACGTGTGTGTTTTCTTTTGCCTGAGTTTGAGCATAATATTACAGAGGCCATTACAGAGGCCTGGTTTTCTTGCTCCAATTCGAGGTCATTAGGTAAACTCACCAAGATCTTGTAGAGTTTTAAACTGCAAGTACTGAGATGGAGTGAAAACAGGTTTTGTCAAAGTATCCTAATTATATGGTAGTAATGTATTATCAAGAGCCATATTTTTTAATAAAGATTGCACAAAAAGACAGTTCAGTCCATATTGACTAATGGCTTGCTTAAATTCTTTAGTAACTTAGAAGAAAAAGCAGGCTAATTAGCTATATTCTGTCCTACTTGCTGGATTATAGTAACGGGAAATTGCCATGCTTCAAGGTCTCCCTTGGCTTTAGCTTTTTGAATAGAATTTTGTCTAGCACCACCAACTGCTCCAGGTTTTAATGTTGTAACTACAGGAGCAGTAAGTTTTTCAGCTAATTTATTTTCTCACCCATTTAGGGGAGAGAGAGGAGGTGGCCATTCACTTAATTCAGCAGGTGGAGCCAACGGGCTAGTAAAACATACTTTTTAAAGTTTTTCTTTCTTTTCTTTAATCTCCTCCGGTAGCTGCTCCTCACACTCAGAATTTGAAGTTAGTTTTTTACACTCATCCTCCTCTTCCTCATCTGAATCTGCCTCATCATCTGTTTGAAATGGCTGAAGGGCTGCCTTTATTAGTGCCCACACTGACCATATATAAACTGGAATTTCTGCTCCATCTTTATATGCCTATTAAAAATCTCTTCCAATTCTCTCCCATTCATCCAACTTCATAGTCCTTTGTTCTGGAAACCATGGGCAAAACTGCTTTACTGTACTAAAGAGTAATAACAAATTCTAAGTACTAACTTTCACTCCCCATCTTTGTATGTCCTCGGGTGTCTTTTGATGATGTGTCCTCTGCTTTCATATGCTCTAGCCTTCCTTCACCGGGTCTTTGTCACCCCATGTTGGGCGCCAGGAATGTTGGGGTGATCAGACCCAACACTAGGTCATGGGGGTGATGAAGTCCGGCAGAGTCAAAGGAATGAGAAAAAGACAGTTTGAGAGAGAAAGTGGGACCAGGAGACCATCACGAGTATGGAGTCTGCAAAGTCCCCAAGCTCTGGGAGCCCACGCTATTTGTTGGTGCTCAAACAAAGAAACAGGTGGTGAGGATGTGGGGGTTGAAAGGAAATGGTGTATCAAGTGAATGAGAAACATATGGCCCTGCCTCAGCTTCTCTTCCAACACTCAGCTTTTCTCCCAACACATTCCCCTTATGAACAGGAATAAAATAGGGATGCCTGTTCTCCCCATTCCTGTTTAACAAGTCCTAGCCAGAGCAAGCAGGCAAGAGAAAGCGATAAAAAGCATCCAAATAGGAAATGAAGTCAAATTATCTCTCTTCACTGATGATATGATTCTACACCTAGAAATACCTAAAGACTGTGCCAAAAGGCTCCTAGAACTGATAAAAAAAACTTTAGCAAACTTTCAGGATAAAAAAAAACAACATATAAAAAGAAGTAGCATTTCTGTTCACCAAAAATGTTTAAACTGAAAGGTAAATCAAGAGTGCAATCCTGTTTACAACAGCAACCCCCAAAATAAAATAAAATAAAGGAAGAATATGTCTAACCAAGGAGGTAAAGGATATCTAAAAGGAGAACTACAAAACACTGCAGAAAGAAATCATAGATCTCGAAACAAATGGAAAACCATTCCATGCTCATGGATTAGAAAGATCAATATTGTTAAAATGGCTATACTGCCAAAAGCAATCTACACATTCAACACTATTCCTATGAAACAACCAATGTCGTTTTTCACAGAATCAGAAAAAAAAATATTCTAAATTTCATATGGATTTTTAAAGAGCCCAGACAACCAAAGGAAATCTAAGCAAGAAGAACAAAGCTGGAGACATCACATTACTTGACTTCATACTATACCCTAAGGCCACAGTAGACAAAATAACATGGTACTGATATGAAAACAGACACAAAGACCAATGAAACATAATAGAGAACCCCAAAATAAACACATGCACCTATAGCCATCAGCTTTCGCAGGATAACACAAAGAGAGCCAAGTGGCACCTGCACATTACACTGTGGAAGAAAAACCCAAGCTCAAGAAACCCCAACTTGTGTTATTGGAAGTTCACTTGGCTGTATGCTTCCCAAGAGGGAGAAATTATCTGCATTATACTAGACAGTAAATAAACTTTTCCTTTGTTCCAGAAGGAGGTACTGGTTTTCTATTCCAAGGCTGTTTTCTATACAAACATGCTTGAAAACAATCATTTGGAACAATAAATTCAGCGTCCATACTTGCAAAATGTGCGTAAATTAAAGACCCAAAAATTGTTTCTCTACCAATTTCTATTTTTTAAAAATCAAATTTTCCCCATATAATATGCTTTTAATATGTGATCATATTCTGAAATTGTCTTAGCATTTACCCCCATTTCTGAGTCCAGAAGGATACAATAGATTTAATTTAATTTAGTAACACTTCAAATAGTAGTGATTGTAATAGCAGAGCTAGTTTGTAGCATAAAGAAAAAATAATAATATTATTAGGTGACACTTACAAATAATGCTAGTCACCATTTCTAAGTGTCTTGGGAAGTACAGTGATTATTTTCTTTCTTTCTGACTCTTTTTTACTTTATTTTTTATTTTTTTCCATAGGTTATTGGGGTACGGTGGTATTTGGTTCCATGGGTAAGTTCTTTACTGGAGATTTGTGAGATTTGGGTGCACCCATCACCCGAGCAGTGTACACTGCACCCTATTTGTAATCTTTTATCCCTCGCCTCCCTTCCTATTAAATAATAGACCAGAAATAATGGGTTTAGAATAAATGAGTTCAAATGAATTGTCAAACGTATGTGGGAAAAGTGGAATCAGTTTTTGAGAAAAAGCAAAAAACTCAACAGAAATGCTGATAAAGCATCATCCCTTCATGGCTAGAGCTGCCAGTACCCCAGAACACCAAAATCAGCTAGGGAAATTTTGTAGAAGTCCCAGATGTACTAAATGTTCTGTGAATACACAGAGATATAATTATAACTGTTACCTGCATGTAGAGTAAAGATGAGAAGGCATTGGTCATGGTGGCAGCTACCTCAGGAGTTACAAAGCAGACGTGGTCCCAGGACAGTATATGTCAGGGCAAAGCTGTCCTCGGAGGCTATTAGGAGCTGGTTATGGCACAGACATTGTAAGTCAGATGGTCTCATTACTTTCAATGACAAAACCAAAATTACTTTTGCATCAGCCAATACAACGGCCTGGCCAGAGCACAGAAAAAGGCCCTGTGCTGTTAGGTGGGGACCTCTGATGCAGCACAATTCCTTCATTCCCTTCTCCGAAACCCCCTCTTCCAATTCCACTGAAGAGAGAATCTGATGGAAGTGCTGTGTAAGCAGGCTCAGATATATCTACCACTATAGACAGTAGAGGTGATTCACAAATCCAAGCCTATCAAATACATCATAAATAAGTTACACGTTTAATTTTTTTTGAAATTAGGGATCATGATATGAAAGTTATCAGAATCAAAACTGTCACTAATGTTTAAAAAGAGAAGAAGAAACCTGAACAAATAGATTCAGAGAAGGCCTTGAAGAGAGGGTTCTCATGCTTCTAGGCCTGATAAAAACTATTACAAAATACCACAAAATCCACAACCTTGCACAAAGGCCATAGCAACCTTACACAAAATACACTTCTGTGAGGACATCTATCCAGGAACCGCCTGCCCAAACTTCAACTGATATTGACCTTGTTGTTGATCTTTATAGTCAAAGGTAACTATATCAAAACAATTATAGAAGCCTCTTCATTTTCCCTTATTTATTTTTTTCTACTCCCCCATACTTCCAGGTTGATCGCTTTTCTTTTAAAGACCTTGTCTTCCTTTACCATTTGAATCTATATAGTTTGCTTTGTCATGCATATTCCCATTGCAGTGCCCTCCTCCCTAAGATGTGTCTTTTTCCTTTAGAGAGCCTTTCTCTGTTTGTTATTTAGGTTTACAATGAGAAGGCGTGTAAAGTATTTTTACTGTCTTCCTAGGAAAAAATCACTGACTTACAGTATTTATATTTATTTATTTACATTCCTGGGGATGAGGAATTAAAGATTTCACAAATTTTCTTATTGAGAAGATCCAAGTTTTCATGTGAGCAAAACTGAATATGTAAATTGATATGTAAATTATGCTGCAGATAATATGGTCAAATGTTTACTTGTATATAATTTGTTACACATGAATATTGCATATGTAAGATAATATACTAAGAAATTATCACATTTAATGAAATGCTTTAATCAAATTACTGATTGAACTTTTGATATCAATATCTTTTTCATTGTTTAATCCATCTTTAGGGTGAACAGGGCTTTATAGGCCAAAGTTATCACTTCTATCTAAACTGTCTGAGTTACAGAACTTTTTGAATTTATTATGTTGTCACAGGAAGTTTCTTATTGCTGTTTAAAGGAGTGTCTCTCAATATGATGCAGAATGCAAACTCACTGAAGGGCATATATCCTGAGTTTCTGTTACTGAAGCCAAAGGTTGCCAATTTCTTGTAGATCCTGCTAGAGTTAAACTTCATTTAAGTAATCATTAAAAGCTGCATTTATTCCCTCACTTGAAATTTTGATTTCACACTATTAGGACTAATCCTCTAAGTCTTTGCTAAGTTATGTTCCTCTTTTTCTTGTAGCTTGACTCTGATGATCTCTATATGCAACATCAATTGACATAAATTAAAGTACATTCAGGGCAAGAGAGTTTCTTTAAATATTACTTTGTTATTCAAAATAATCACAAAAGCACTCATCGTAGGAAAACTTGTGAGGACTCAAATACAGGGAAATACTTTTTCTTTCTAAGGCACAATTCTCTAAAGAAGTTCACCTTAATTTGAATATACATGGGAAAATATCCTTGTTCACTAATAGTCTATATTCACTCTGTTTTCTTCCCTCATAGACTAGCCGGTTCACTATTATTCTCCAAATGATGTGTGCTTCTCTAGAGTCCAGGCTATCTGCATATCTAATTTTTCCCACAAATTACTGTTTTGAATTGCACTGAATTCAATTCAAGGGGATGTCATTTATAAACAGTGCAAATATATACTGCACGAGGGATCTTAGAAATCATACACATGGTTTGATCCATAAGCTCATATGAGCGTGCAATGTCAACTTTTTTCATGTTTTTTTAAATCCACTTAAATTCTATTTTAAGCCATCATCTGTCTGTGCTGTTAGGGCAGTTAGCCTTCAATCATTTTAAGATGCTCCCCTCTAAGTACTGTGATAGTGATAGAGATATCACCAGTCAGGTGTCCTAGGAAGCCGACTCCGAGTTGGAGATTTGCATGCAAGGAGGTTGAAATGATATTCCCAACACCTGTGGAAGAGTGAAAGCAATAGGATTGGGTGGAGCAGGAAGTCGGCTGGAATGCAATCACTATCATGGCCGCAGTCCACTCTACAAGATCTTGGTGAGTTTACCTAATGACCTCGAATTGTAGCAAGAAAACCAGGCCATTATATTTCTGTACCAAGCAGTTCTCGGATGTGGGATGCCTTGAGAAGGGACATGAACTTGGATGAAGGAACTTTACTGTGCTGTGAGTATTGTTGCCAGGAGTCAGCTGTCAACACTCCCAGGAGACGGGAAATTATGCTTTAGTCACTGAGGCGGCATGTAGTGTCAGACCACAGCCTTGTTAAACAGAGCCAGAATTTGGAGGATGGTTGGTGGGTTTAACATTTGGGGCTTGACATCTTGTCACCACAAGCTGCTGCTGGCCTCTTCCTTGTCCATTTCTGTGTGACCTGTTAAGGAGCCCCAGCTTCCTGCTTCTTCTTTACCATATTTGGAATGCAAAAATCTACACGTAATTTGGCCCATGGACCCTTCTGCTTAGACATATCCTTGTAGCTATTTTTTTTTTAAAAGATGACTATGCCTTCTAGAATATTTCTAAGAAACTGCCTAAGTCACCACTGCTCACCAAGAGGCCTTTGTTTTTTCCTCTTCTTAACCATGGGAAAGGAATGTAGGAGGGTAGGGAGTGGATATTTTCTAACCTGGAAAAAACTCATTTTACCCTATATGATTTTTGTTAACAAATTCCTTCTTTGCACTTACTCCACAATCTTTCCAAATTCTCCCAAATGCTCAAGCTTTTAAAAAACAAAAGACAGAAAGCAGGTTATTAGGTTTTCCAACAAACCTTTTCTTTCTATTCCTTTACATCAGTGGGCTTAGAATAACTCTGCTCCTGGAACTGGGAAAGGCACTTGGGAAAAGAAAGAAAAAAAAAAAGCTCTCAAAGTTTAACATCACAAAACATTATAGTCACTGCTATTTTATTATTTATTTATTTATTTATTTATTTATTTATTTATTTTTAGATGGAGTCTTGTTCTGCCACCAGGCTGGAGTGCAGTGGTGCGATCTCGGCTCACTGCAACCTCAGCGTCCTGGGTTCAAGCGATTCTCCTGCTTCAGCCTACTGAGTAGCTGGGACTACAGGCGTGTGTCACCACACCCAGCTAATTTTTGTATTTTTAGTAGAGACGGGGTTTCACCATATTAGCCAGGATGATCTCGATCTCCTGACCTTGTGATCCGCCCGCCTTGGCCTCCCAAAGTGCTGGGATTACAGGCATGAGCCACCGTGAGTGACCTTGCTTTGTAATTTTTACATCATATATCCCCTGTGTTAGACCAAGAGCTTGTAAAAACCAGAAGACATACACCATTTATAGTTCAATTAGAGATGTTCACTGATAAAACTTATTCTTCCATCTGAGGGTGGTATTTGTAGTTACAGTAATGTAGATGACAATCTAAGTTATGTTCTATGAACTGTGTCACTGACATCTCAATCTACAGCTAACTTTAATTTTTTAAAAGCAGAGGAGTGGGTTGTATAGGTTTAGAAATACATTCATCAAGCTAGTTAAGTGAGATATTCAAACCTTCAACTCACTTGAATATTTACCAAATTGACTATTCATTAGCTAAAGGAGCCATATAAACAAGGTACTTTTTAAAATTCAAAATTATGTAAGGTTTTGTTTCCTTTTTATGCTGTTATGAATTGGATTGTAGAGGTTATAAGGTAAAATAAGGTTACTTTTACAGTAAAGCATACAACACATTGTCACAAGAGGGCAGCCTTTGAACATGAATTTCTTCTCAGGCATTCCTTGAAATTTTGAGACAGTTACTTTAATTAACACAACTAAATAATAAAACACTACAGAGGATCTAAGAAGATACTTTGACTTATGCATATTGTTACTTTTTTATTACTGCTAGTGGAAGATGTAATCTACAAGGAAGGCAAGGGCTGAATTTGTTTTATGTAAGAAGACAAATTTCTTTGGGTTTTAGCTTTCAAACAAGATAGTAGGTCAATGTCTAAATGAGTGTATCAAAGTTCTCACACTAGCACATGTAAATCCACCTCTTATCTACCCAAAACTCTAACCAAGCAAAGGCAAGTTGGAAGAATCAGACAAATGTAAGTGCCTAGGATACATAAATGCCACTGGATTTTATGTTTTTAACTTGCAACCTCCCAAGTTTCACTAAGAGACATGTTATTTGGAGAGGTTGCTAAAGTGTAGTTGTATGATGTCTCTGTGTATGGTTGGTCTGGACCTCTTTCTGTCCAGTGGTTGCCCTCAATTGATTAGAGTCACCTCTCTAAAGATCATGCTTACGTCCCTGGAGCAGTCCACAGCACTATCAATGTCTGACCTCCACCTTTTTCCAATTAATATTTCTGTACTTACTGAATTGGAAAACATACAGGTGTTTTTTGCCTGGTCACTTGTGGTTTTACAACACTCCCCCCGCTTCCGCACCACTGCCCCAGGTGATTTTGTTGCCAGCCAAAGTGTGAGAACTACTGGCAGCTGCTGGCAGACAGCAGCAAAGGCCCAAATCCTCGGTGTGATTTCAAGACCCCTATCTAGTTTTCAGCCATATTTCCTTCTCCTTCTCACAGCTGAGCCCACTCCTCCTGCCTCACCACCTGTAGGCTATGCTTTCCAGCCTGTGTCCAGGATTAGTCCTGATGTAAGGCACGTGGGGTTTAAGGATCTCTCTCTTCAGTCTTATTTCCGCACCATCGCTGACACATATATTCCAGTTGTAATCATGGGGCTACCTCCTTTTCTTTCCAGTCCCATGCTCATTTTCTCTATCACATTCTACCTTGTAATAACCTAAATCTTCTGGTGGGCAAGCTTCTTCCTCAATCAAATTTGTGTTTATGATTGTGTTGGGGATTGGCTTAGTAATCCAGGTACTGCTGCTGCCTTGAAAGCGGAGACTGCATCCTTCTGTCTGGATATCTTGAGTTTCTGGATTGTAAACCTTATTAGGACCCATTTTTCCTAGAATTGGAGCCTCTACTTTGTTCTTGCTACTTTAGTTCACCCAGAAATCACGATCTCTGCCTGAATTTCAAAGTGTTGGCTAGCTTAAATATCCTTTTGTGAGACTTTCGTCTTCCAGCGGGGTGATTTTTTCATCTTACATACCATTGCTAATCTTTTTATCTTGAATGTAATTGAAATAGTTTTAATCTGTGTTACAAGCAACAAGAACCCCTTTTATGAGATGAAGAGGCCAGGTCAGTCTCATAACATGTGTCCCCCTCCGTGTGTTGAATTTATGTCAGAGCCAGGTTCTTTCCTATTTGACGTCTCTCACCAAATTCCAGTGTTTATGTCCTAGGAGGTGCCCAATAAATTCTAGAGTTGATACAAGCTGCAATTTTAGAGAAATTAAATTAGCAAGTAAAATTAGATTATATACAACCTAATCAACTTTTTTTTTTTTCTGAGGATGACCAAGATTTGGGCTTCAGTGACAATAGTTGTCCCCTAAATATTTATACTCAAAATCTAGGATCACCAGTACAATGTTGAATAGAGGTGATGAACACACACATCCCTTTCTTGTCCTAATCTATGTGGTTTAAACATTTACGCTTTCACCATTAAATATAGTATTGTTTATATGTTTTGTTGTGGATGCTTTCCATCACTTCGAGAAAATTTCTTTATCTAGCTTGCTGAGAGTTTTTTTTTTTTTTTAAATCAGCAATAGATATTTCTCCAAAGAAAATATCCACATGACCAACAGATACATGAAAAAAATGCTCAGCATCACTAATCAGGGAAATGCAAATCAAAACCACAAAGAGATATTGCCTCAAGCCCTTTAGAATGGTCTTATTAAAAGAAAAAGATAACGAGTGTTAACAATGGGGAGAAATTGGAACACTTCTACAGTGTTTCTGGGAAAGTAAAACTGTGCATCCTCTATGGAAAACAGTACGGTGGTTCCTCAAATAAATTAAGAAAGTAGAACTAGCATATGATCTAGTAGTCTCACTTCAGGTTATTTATCTGAAAGAATGGAGATTGGGATGATTCTCAGGCTCATTGCAGCATTATTTACACTAATTAAAATGTGGGAATAAGGTTAATGTCTATTGGCAGATGAAAAGATAAAGAAAATGTGGTATATTCATACAACGGAATATTATTCAGCTTTAAAACAAGAAAGCCCGTCAATATGCAACATGGATGAACCTAGAGGACATTAATGCTAAGTAAAGTAAATCAGTCACAGAAGGACAAACTGTATGATTCCACTTGTATAAAGTATCTAAGATAGCCAAATTCATTAGAATCACAGATTA
Organism: Homo sapiens; assembly: GCF_000001405.40. Lineage (NCBI taxonomy): Eukaryota > Metazoa > Chordata > Mammalia > Primates > Hominidae > Homo > Homo sapiens. The sequence continues at coordinate 145,142 of NT_187513.1, forward strand.
GAATGGTGATAGCTCTTTAAGTTGAAGTCAATTTTGCATTCCTAGGTTTTGTAATTTTGGTATCAGGATTCTGACTCATAAAACAAGTTTGGAATTTCCCCCTTCTTTATTTCTGAAATAATTTAAAAATTTTATTTTTTTAAAACGTTTGAAAGAATTCACCAGTGAAATTCTTTAGATCTGGGGTTTGCTTATTTTTTTATTTATTTAATTTTATGTTTTTATGTGCAGGTATTTTACAATTAATTTAATTACTTTAATAAATGTCAATTACTTCCTATGTTCCATTAAATCTTGTGAAATTTTTTATAAGTTTTTTTCAAGGAAGTCACCCTTTCATCCAAGTAATGAAAATTTGTATATAATGTTTCACAATATTCCATTATCTTGTTAAAGTCTCTTGTGTCTACAACTGTACAATCTCATTAATCCCTGATATGTATAATTTGCGTTTTCTTTCTTTCTCACAGAACTAACTTTTGGCCATGTTGATTTTCTCCTGTTTCTGTTTTCTGTCTCATTGATTTCTAATTTCTGTTTTATTTCCTTTCCTCTACTTGTTTTGGACTTAATTTGCTCTCTTGTTTTAGATTTTCTTTTTAAGGTAGAAATTAGTTCACTTGTTTTGAACTTCTCTTTTCTAGAATAAGCATTTATACAAAAAATTTACTCTGGGTCTGCTTAACTTTATCCCATACATTTTGATATAGTATATTTTTATTTGTATTCAGTTCAATGTATTTAAAGGTGTTTCTTATGATTTCTTCATTGAGCTAAAGGGCATTTTAAGGTGTATTTAAATCTTCCAATAGTGTAGACTTTCCTGGGTAGCTTGTTTTTACCCATTTCAACTCATTTTCATTATGGTCAGAAAGCATACTTTCCATGATTACAGTGTTTTGAAACTTCTTGAGAGATATTTTGTGGTCTATAGCCTATTGATAAATGTTTCATGTGTAGCATAATAGAACATATATTCTATTGTCTTGGTCAATATCGATTAGGTCAAGCTGTTGTCAAAATTATTTTATCTTAATTTTCTTTAGTTATTCTGTCAGCAATACAGCATTATGTCTTCATAATTACTTGACATTTTGTCATTATGAAATAGCTGTCTGTTGTAATATTGCTCGTTTGGAGGTCTACTTTTTCTTATATTAATATAGCCACATAAGATTTCTTGTCCTTGTTGTTTCCTTGGTATACTTGGAAATTATTTTACTCTCAACTTATCTATACCATAATATTTGGCATGCATCTCTTATAGGTACTTTTATTATCCAGTTTGACAATCTGTGTTTTATTTGGAGTATTTAAATTACATTTGAAATAATTACTGAAAAGGTTGGATTTAAGCCTACTATTTTTTTTTTTTTTTTTTTTTTTGAGACGGAGTCTGGCCCTGTCACCCAGGCTGGAGTGCAGTGGCGGGATCTCGGCTCACTGCAAGCTCTGCCTCCTGGGTTCACGCCATTTTCCTGCCTCAGCATCCGGAGTAGCTGGTACTACAGGTGCCCGCCGCCATGCCCGGCTAATTTTTGTATTTTTAGTAGAGACGGCGTTTCACCGTGTTAGCCAGGATGGTCTCGATCTCCTGACCTCGTGATCCACCCGCCTCGGCCTCCCAAAGTGCTGGGATTACAGGCTGAGCCACTGCGCCCAGCCTATTTTGCTCTTATGTTCTATTTGCTCCATCATTTTTTGCTCCTCTTTCTTTCATGCCTTTTTATATTAACTGAACAATATTCAGCGTTCCATTTTAATTCCTTTATTGGCATTTTAGAAGAATATCTTCATATAATGTGGTGGTTCTCTAGGGATTATAATAAACATCCTGGGCTTATCGCAGTCCACTTAGTGTTAATAGTCAGCGTTTTCATGTAACATAAGGAAAAGTTGCGGCAAAATTGTTGCGTTTAGTCTCCTGTCAGAGCTATTAATTTAGAATATTTTACACACATTATCAATAGTACACTTAATTTTTTATTCAAAGCATCAGTTGTTTGTTATAAAACTAAAAAAAAAAGCCTTAGTTTTTCACGTTTATGCACATGCCATTCCTAGAGCTTCTCCTTGCTTCCTGTAGGTCAGAATTTCCGTCTGTTGTTATCTTTCTTTAGCCTAAAAAATTTCCGTTTGCATTTCTTGTATCTTGGTCTGCTAATGACAATTGTTTGAAGCTTTCTTTTATCTGAATAAATCTTTCTTTTCTCAAGAATTACTTTATCTAGTTATAGAATTTGGAGTTGACAGTTTTCTTTTGAAGATGTAGTTTCATTGCTTTTTAAAGTGTCATTTCTGATGATAGGTCATCTGTCTATTTGTTTCCACGGATGTAAATTATTTTCTCCCTCCCTTTAGCTACTTTCAAGATTTACTCTTTTTTTTGCCCAGTGGTTTGACTATGGTATGTCTACATTTGGTTCTCTTTATTTTTATTCTGTTCTTTGAGTTTCTTAAACCTGTAAGTTGATATATGCTGACAATTAGGAAAACTTTTGGTCTTTACTTTTTCAAATAGCTTTTTCTGTCTCATTTACTTCTCTACTCTTTCTAGGACTCCAATTATATTAGTGCTAGACTGGCCCTATTTTTATTATTTTTCTTCGTTTGTATTAACTGTATTGGGAAATTGTTCTTGATCTGTTTTTAAGTGCACTGATAATTTTTTGTGCCATCTTTAATTTACTGGTATGTACATAAAATGACATTTTTATATAAGATACTCTGTCTCTCAGTTCTAAAATTTGTCCTATTATCTCTTTATCATTTTTACTTCTCTGTTGAGATTCTCCATATATTCCCTCTTATGACCATCTATTCCTTAAATCCTTGAATATGCTTATAATAGCTTATTTTAAATTTCTTATATTCTAATTCCAGCGTGTGGGCCATTTCAATGTCTTAATCCATTGTTTACTTTTTTTGTTATGTGTCATATTTTCCTGGTTCTATGTCTAGGCAGATTAAATTATATGTTAGATTATGTGTATGATATTTTGTAGAGATAGGTTTGTTTATTTTCCTTTGAAGAATGACTCTTTTCTAACATTAGTCTTCTTTCCGTAGTCAAACACCAAACTTTCACTCCTGAGCTATATGCAATGGTTGAAATCTCTGCTCTGTACTAGCAATTTAGCTGTTGTTTTCTGCTGGATTCTATGGAGTCTCCTTTTATGAATGTGAAATGTAGCAGCCATCATATATTTGAATGAAGTTGAAGTGCTGATTTTAGATTTTTACTCTGTGATATTCTCCTCTGTGACTTTCAGTTGTGTGAGATGTCCTCCCATGTCATTCAAATTTCCCAGTTCCTCTTTTCTGTCAGCCTGGAACTCTGTGCTCTTATTCCTCAAGCTAGTAAAACTCACCGCTTTACTCGTAGACATCTAATTTTGCACAGACTGGGAAGCGTCATCAGGTGTGAAGTTGCCTTGATGCAAATTTAAATCATTGCAATTTTCTTTATTCAATGGTCAAATACTTCATCATTAGTGGAGTATTCTACTATTTCTGCCTGTTTTCTGTTTCTCATTACCATCAAATGTGTATTTAATTTTTTTAGAGTTAATAGTTTTTTCCCTGCATTTGGTTTAGACCTGAGCTACTACCATATTTTGTAATTCAAACTTTTTGTCTAACAATGTTTTAGAAAACTCTTTATTTGGAGGGAATTCTCAAACTTCTAAATACTCTACAAACATTAGGATCAGGGCTCACATTCCCAGTTTCCCTTGTAGCCAGATGTACATATGGAACATGGCCTCAGCTAATGAAGCATACCCACATATTTGAAAGTAAGAAAAGTGTTAAGAGGAAGTGTAGATATCATTTTAGTTGATGCAAGGATGGAAAAAAATAACCAACTTTCACTGGTGAACTTTGTCTTCAATCATTGTTTTCCCGTGGGTAAGTGGCTAATTTTCTGGCCTAGAGGTGGAATTGGGGTGTTGGTAACAATTGATTTGATGATAACCTGCTTTTGTCTTTTTAAAAATTGCTAATCTACCATTGTTTCTGGTCCTGTTTTATATTTATGCAGTGTATAATGTCTCATGCAAAATTTAGTTCTTTGTTTCTCAGCTTAAACTGGATTTTGATGGGCAGTTTTCACCTTCAAATGAAAGAAATGGCTTTGGTTGATGTTAGACAAAAATAACAAGAAGAAATTAAAGAAATATGTTTGTCCTCTTGTAACATTAAATAAATGAAACTGAAAATTCAATAATTCTGCTTCATAAAAAAATAGAAAGTTTCTACTGGTTTTCATTATTTTTGAAGCTGTATCATTAAATGAAATTTCTGCCTCATGGAAGGTTTTTAGAACTATGTAATAATACCATACAGACCATTAGGAGAGAAATGAATAAAGACTGAAAGAAGTAAGCACTGTGTGGTAACATAGATGGCGCACAGTTGTGTGCGTGGAGCCCTAATACATTTGACCATGGAATTTATACAATAAATGTTAGTTTCCTGTGAACCTGCTAATTAATATGACTTTTGCAGACATTTCCTTAACCTAAACAGTTTGGGTTTCCTGTATATAGACTGCATGTATTCTCACCTTTAACCTTTCCATAATCTTCCCTAATTACAGATGTCATTGGTTCTTAACAGCAAAAGAACAGCAGTAGCTTATAAAGTTATATTATTTGTTTTTTACTAATATGTGAAGTGATTTTGTCTTTCATTTCACCTGTAGAGCTAATTATGTCTTCTAGGTTAACAAAAATTCCAGATCATACCATCATTAGTTTAAACTTTACAATGAAATCATTATTTCTATTTATTACTAGCCTGCATTATAGCAATATTTAGCTAATGAATTCTCAAAATATTTCTTGAAAGGTGAAAGAGTACCTCAAGTAAATGGTGTAATTTATTTATTTATCAGAATTTTAAATTAATTGTTCTGTTTAATCTCAAAGGGGTACCAATGAAGTCAGGGCATAAGGAGTCCGTGGTTAATAAAATGGCAAGAATTAAAAAGGATTATTACATTTTTTCCTCATACTATGATGCCTATAATTTTTTAAAACAGTAGAAATGTTTAATTTTTAAAGGCTACTAGTGTCTATTTCATTCAAAGATGTGAGCTCTTCAGTTCAACTTGTTGTTTGAAATTTGAAAAGCTTTTTCTTGCTCTTGTTCAATACAGTTATTTAACAGTCCAGGCAGGCCTCTGGAGTTACATATATGTATGTGGCTATGCGTGTATATATACACAGAAGTACAAATAGCATATAAACAATTTACATAAGACTTTTGCTTTTGATGAAAATTCTTCTAAAAGTGAATATAAATTAATAGCATATGGAGCCTACAAAAATTGTCTAATAGGGAACTAGGAAAAGATAATTTGTGAAGAAAGAGTTCGCTAAAACAGACTTTTTATTTTTACATCTAATAACATTATATTGAAGGGTTTCCAGAAGTATAAAATGTTATAGGGCACTTATCCTGAGACACACGAAGGAGACAAGGGATAGAGCTAGGATGGAAGTGAAAATAAAGGACAAATAGAGATAGATACTTAAGTGGAAATGAAACACTGCATGTTCTCACTCATAGGTGGGAATTGAACAATGAGAACCCATGCACACAGGGAGGGGAACATCACACACCAGGGCCTGTTGCGGGGTGGGGGGAGGGGGTAGGGATAGCATTAGGAGATATACCTAATGCTAAATGACGAGTTAATGGGTGCAGCACACCAACATGGCACATGTATACATATGTAACTAAACTGCACGTTGTGCACATGTGCCCTAAAACTTAAAGTATAAAAAAAAAATCATCAAACAGGTGGTAATTTCAAAACATGGCTTTTTCAGGCAGCAAATTTTCTGAATGTATCGCAAAAGAAGATAAATTGCATGTCTATGTAGATCATGTCAATGAAATAAACAATAAAGTTACTTATTCGAATATTGAAAGTGGTTGATAGTAAATAAATTATTTATATTTATGGTAAAAGCAATAAACTTGATTTTTAGGGGGTTCAATGACTTCCTGAAAATATCCTCTCACAGATTTTCTCAGAGTGTCTAGTTGGCAAAAGCGCAGCTCCAAATAGCTATTTCTGTCAACGTCTACAGAACATTTACAGTTTGATTTCCAAAAGTTTCCATTTCTACTGACCTTACAAATTTGTAAAGTGAATGCCCACCATGACAAAATATTAAGTGATAAAATTAATTGCATCCTACAAGTGAAAATCTAGGCAAGGAAAATCTTCTTCCTTCTTAATGAATGATTTTTATGTCTCTTCATTCTTGTCCTTCTAGGTAAAGCAACACTCTGGAGACCTTCTTTTGAGGCATTTCACCACCAGAGTAAGTGTGATGTATGAGTAATTAGTCCACCCACAGGGAGCTGGTGAAATTAAATGGGAAGTTATTTCCTAACTGGCATATCTTGGAGTAAAATTAATCTAATAACAGCTTTCATAAGAGAACATAAGCTTAAAAGACAACATTTTTCATTCAACTTTACCAAACAAAGTGCAAATTTAGGTGTCCAGTTGTGAAGTTTGGTTGTGTGTGGATTGTACGGTGAAGGTACCAGTGGACAACAGTTCCTCATCAAGCAAGTTTATACAAAAGCTTTTGGACAAGTCCAACTCTAGATAAAATTCGAAAGTATTTCATGCTTGTGTTCAGAGTTTCTTTTTCTCTCTCCAAGGTAACCCACATATCAAAAGACATATGGGTTGTGGGTAGAACTTCCTAAAATTGCTGGTGAGAAGTGTGCCATGCATAAGCATACTTCACTAGCTTGAATTTTCTGTTAGTCTCACAGGCAACAATTACAATCCTGTATGTTTTTCTATCTCCAGACACTCCTGAACATAAAAAGACCAAGTAACATCCCTGGTTAAGATGTGTACAGGTTCCAAGACATGTCTAAATATATTCACCAAGAGGTTTATTATTTTCACAGTGGCATTCACTAAATCAGTTGTCAGTGTAGCATTACTCAAGGAATATGCAGGGTCTTTAATTTATCAAAGTTTGGAGTGCACCCCAAGTTGGATCACTGAAGCACATAACTATAGATAAGGTCACTCAGAAGCACAAATCCAGGTAATAAATATCCACTAGTAGTTTATATGCATTTAGCAATTTGAATGCTGTGAAGTGTAGCCCAGAAAATCAATCGACATGGAGCTATTAAAGAGGCATTCATGGCACCTGCACTTTGAATCTCTTCAGACTCAGGTTAAACAGGAGACATGGTAGCTCATATATACTGCAAAAACCCTTCCTCTTTCCCTTTTTATCTATGAACCTGCCCTTTTCAATGTTATCTAGATGCCTGAAGGTATGAATACCCTTGATCTTGGTAAAAAATGGTACCACCCATCAGCAAAATCTCACTGATCAGTGTCTATGTTACCTCACTGAGTTAGCCTTTTGTGTTGTTGTGGCCCAGAATGACAATGTTGACACAATCCAAACCAGTAGTTGGAAAGTTAATGTTGGATGCGTCTTTGACAATTGATGGAATGACCTGAAATCAAATGTGAGGCAGTGGAGACAGAAGAATGCTATTCAGGAAGTTAGTGATCTGTGGAGATACTAAATGAAATATCTGGAAGGAATTGTAATCTTGCAACTATGCTTTTATGTGTTTTTTGACATAAACAGTTTCTATTTATGGTGGAGCTAGAGTGTCCATTTCCCATGAAGTTCCCATAGTGTTAACTAATACAGTCATGTGTCACTTAATGACAGGGGTGTGTCTGAGAAATGCATTGCTGGACAATTTTATTATTGTATGAACATCACAGAGTTTACTTACACAAACCTAGATGCTATAGCTGATTACATACCTAGGTTAGGTGGTATAGCCTATTCCTCCTAGGCTACAAAACTGTGCAGCATATTACTGTACTGAATACTGTAGGCAATTGTAACACAACAGTTAAGTATATCTATACTTACTTATATCTATACAGTAAGTGTATCTATACATGTCTAAACATACAAGAGGTACAGTACAAATACAGTGTTATGATTTTATTGCACCACTGTCATACAAGTGCACTATCCTTGACCAAAATGTTGTTATGTGATGCATGATTGTAACAAAAGAATTAATTAAATATAATATCGAAGTGCCTATTGAGATTTCAATGAAGAAAGGAATATTTGTAAATTCTGATTACCTTAAGTGGGAATTGACTTTCTTCCTGTTTCCATGGCTGTTCTTGTGAAAGAGCATAGCTTTCCAAAGACCTGAAATCTCTGACAAATCTTGTAATTCTCTATAGCCTGCATTATGAAGGGCACCTGGTATCAAAAGGGGCAAAATGGTAGATTATAAAGACCTGTACTTTCTTGTCACTTCCTAAACATAGCAAGCATTGGTCTATCTTGAACATTTCTGCAGTTATAAATGAGCCTTGGGTCATGATTTTCTGCCTTTTTATCATAGACAAGATTTAATTTAGGAGATGTCCTTTTAATGTGTAATGTGAATAGTAAGTGACACTTATGAAGCCTATTTTCTTCCAGCCATTTTAATTGTCAAATCTGTCCAGTCAAGATGCAATGTTAGAGGCTTCACTGACAACACCGTCTGTGTGTGTGTGTGTGTGTGTGTGTGTGTGTGTGTATACATACATATGATTGAGCAGGATTTATTGTAAGTCAAAACAGTCTCAAATTTCTTAGGACAATACAGCTTCCTTGGCCATTCCCTTGGAGCTCTGAGTTGAGGAGCTGGTGATGTGTATTTCTTTTGCATGTTCTCCACATTATCCCTATGCAGGCCTTCCATGGGCTTGGTTTTGGAACCAGTGATGAAGAAGATCATTAGAATTGTTGTTCTCAAAAAGATTCCTCCATTCTTCTGTATAAGCAATGGCAATTTTCCCAGACCAATATTTCTTCTTTTGAAATGGTAAATTTTGAATATTAACTGGTTAGTATAATCCCATAAAATAACAAAGTTTGAGCCCTATGATCTGTGTTTTAGGCTCAAGTTGTGTTTTATGCTAAATCATCATTTACTCCTTGTATGATCTTTTTTTTTTTTTGAGACAGAGTCTCACACTGTCACTCAGGCTGGAGTGCAGTGGCACAATTTTGGCTTACAACAAGCTCCGCCTCCCAGGTGCACACCATCCTTCTGCTTCAGCCTCCTGAGTAGCTGGGACTACAGGTGCCCGCCACCACACCCGGCTAATTGTTTTTTAAGATTAAGGATGAAATAAAAGCTGCTCCCCTATATTACATTCATAAATCAGAATTATTAAAGCAAGCTATTTATTTATTAGAAACACATACTCCAAATTTAGCATCTAAGACATGACAGTCTTTCAAGAGACATCAATTTACTTTTTAGGGACTATAGCTGTATTTGTATTCATGTTATTGGTGTCCATAATATTTCATTAGATGTTCTGGGTAAATTGATAAATGAAAATAATATATGTGATAAGGAGAACAACCTAGGCCTCCTGGAGGGCCCCTTACAACTCAGCTGGTGTTAGCAGAAATGCCTGGGAGTAACAGTGAGAAACAACCTTTCAAAAGTGTTGAGCAATTTTTCAGGCAGAGGACTATATATACCAATCCAGGCAGCAAGATAAGTGGAGGTCAGTTAAAAGATCAGTATGTGATTACATTTTTTTTTTTTAGGTTTCTACTGAGAGGAAATATAACACTCAGTTATTATTTTCTCCACATATCTCTGGTTATTTTGTCACAACCTTTTATGTAAGCTACTACCAAACACTGGGTTATCCAAGATCTATGGGTCGTATTCAATATTTGCTTTTCCCTCAACTACTAACACATTTGATTCCCTTTGGAACTTTCTCCCCTATTTCTCCTTTCAACCTGTTTTCTCCAACCACACTGAGTTAATAAGCCTCCTATATACTCTCATAACCTGTTTTATCTAAAGAGATTTCCTTTTTCTACTATTATACCCATCTCATTCCCTAATTTATTTATTCTTATTTCTCACTCTATTTTTATTCTTTTAGGCACAGCTCATGTCTCATGACTTTCAAAAAGTTTTTCTTCTGATATTCCCAGCTCGAATTAGGTACATCCCAATCAGTTTCCTTAGACTTACAACTCTACATATTATTGGCTTACAATCTGTCTTAGGCTGGGAATTAGCTCCTTGTAGGCAGGGGCTAGAATTTATTTACTCTTATGTCCATAATGCCTGACACAGGAACTATTCTCATATACAAATTGTAGGGTCATAATTCCTGAGAACATATGTACATTGTAGTGACTCATAAAGGCTTGAAATAAATTTTTAAAATGATTAATTGGGAAGTCCATGAACTTGACATCTTGATGTAGAAGAAAAGCAAGGGCAGATGAAGAAGTTATACAGGATACTTGAAATACCAGAAGAATATAATCAGAGAGCAATACATTAATCCTAGATTTTTAGATGTGAAGAAGTTCTGAGAAATATTTGAAGACATGGCTCTAGGGATGAGTACATAACAGAGACCAGTAGCCAGAGTCAGAGCTTTTCAGAGTGAAGAAATTGCATTGCGGGGGGAAGGACTCTTGTATACTAAATAGAAATTGTCATTAAATGGAGACTAAGCAAGAGGCTGATGATCTGTGGATGACAGACGCAGAAAGGTGTGGAGATAGAGGTAAATGCCATAATCTACAAAGAAGATATTTTTGTGCCAGAAAGAAATAATAGGTCTAGAACGTAATAAAAGATAAATAGTTAACTACATTGCAATGTGGTCTGAGAACTCACTGAAGGCATAGCCATTGATATTAACTTCCACTTCGCTTCCAGACAAAAGATTTTAAATATCTTAAAAATTCCATTTGATATTGTATGATTCATCAAGACAGAAAGTAAAGCTGTAGTTGCCCTGGGAGGGCGGGGAATGGGGAGTCACTTTTTAATGGGTACAGGATTTCAATTTTACAAGACAAAAAGAATTATGGAGATGGGTGGTGGTGATGCTTGCACAACATTGTGAATACATTTAATGACACTGAATTGTATACTTAACAGTGGTTAAGATGCAAATTGTTGAGTGTGTTTTGCCACAGTTAAAAAATGGAAAACAATAGTATTTGAAGATATAGCCCATTTCATCTGGTAGCTAGCTGTATGTGTCTGCTCAGCTGTGGATAGATATTTATGCTGTTTCTGAACTGGAGGTTACTGGTATTCTCTAAGATATAGGAAAATTGATCTTATGTGGCTAACTGAGGTGGATATAGTTGTATCAGTCAGACAGTAATGATATAATCATGATAGTTTACATTTAACACAACTTACATGTGTTATACTTTAGAAAGCACTTCATTCATATTATTACTTCATACCATTTTCCCCTTACCATATTTGTCTCTCCTTTCTCTGCTGACTTCAGAAAATGTCTCTTCCACACTACTCAATTCATCTCCTTATTTTGTCAAAATTTTAAGTCTCAGAGTCTCCAAAAAAAAAATTCCAGACAAGTCTCATCAGCTTTCAGTCATTGATTAATCGATATCCTTAGAGGCTTTCCCTTCCCCTTCTCAATTTAACATAGCTTCCAAATACACTTGCCAATAAAACAAAGTTGTTTATATGGTTTTGTATTTCTTCCTGCTGAATTATGAACATTTTTTCATATTGACATTGATTTCCATCTGGCCATGAAATACTCAAGGTGAAGAAAATGAAACAAAATTGTTAATATTTATCAAGAGCCAGGCACTGTTTTCAGTGTCCTAGAAGCATAAACTAGTGTAACGCTCACCAGATCATATGAGAGGCAAAAATGGATGAAACTATAAAATCAAGACACAGAGAGTTAAGGGAAATTTCCCAAGATCACACAGCCACTGAGGATATGAACTAGATTTTGACTTCAGGCTATTTACCCCAGAACCTGTGCTTTCAACCATCATTTGTACTGCTTCCCTAAATTACTCTTGAGTACACTGTGACATCATATTTCACCTATGACACTGATTATCTGGGGATCTTTGCAACTTATTCTGAATGTGATTCAGTTTTCTTTTCTGTACAGAGATAAAGTCAGTATATACTCCATAGATTTGTTATAAGGATTATATGAAATGACACATGAGAAGGCTTTAAAAGGACTTGGAAAGAAATAAGCTTTTTTGTTTTCAATCATTTTTCAATAGGTTATCAGTGTTGTGAATGGTTCATGAAAAATGACTTTGGGCTCAGTGAGTAACTGAAATGTTGTTGCTTAATAGTGTGTTTAATATTAATATAATAGTAACAAATGTTGTTATTGTTGAGTAATACTTATTTGGTTTTTCACTGCTTTTCTTTTCTAGTGTTTTAGTCAGAGACTTCTTAAGTCTCCTCAAGTGTGTACACATTTCTTAAATTTGTTGGAAAGTACCAAATTTAAGATATCTTGCATTTTTTTCTTCCTTAGTAAACACTAAATTCCATCACGCAGCAGAAAAGGGGCTCTGTTATTGTTGGTACAATGGCTTAATATTCACTTTTATTCCCTGTATCGTAGTTCTGATATAATTGCTATTTAGAATAAAACTTATTCCTTATTATATGCATTCGTAATTATAAAATTTGTGTTTTAATGCCTTCTACACATATACTGTGTTTTTCTTTATTTCCTTATATCTCTTACTGTTTCATGATCCTGGTATTTGAAATCTCATTAAGTGTTGTTTGGGGATTTGCTGGGAATGTCATCTACATAGTAATGTCTCAAGTTTGTAGCATCTTTAAAACATAATAGGAGGTGCAATTCACAGCAGAGTAATAACCATCCCACTTTAGGCAATGTATTTGTGATTGGTATGACTTTGTTCCCAGAGGGCAGTTAGCAACACAATATTAAGGCTATGTGTACAAGGAAAACAAATTTTAAAAATCTCCTTTAAAAAAAAACAGTTCCCGATCCTAACCAGTATCATGCACAGAATCCGTTTCCACCTCTTCATATGGAAGCAGCTCTGGGTGGACATCTAGAAAGTTGGATAACTATTTATCACATATGATCTGTAAAGGGAGAGATTTACAAGAAAGTGTTAAATTTAATCCATAGGAAAGCAAAATCAAAAATCAATGAATTTTCCATTTGTAGTTTTCCCTAGGGGCTCCACTCTCTAGATGGCTTAAATGCGTTAGAATTAAATGACTAGGCACAATTGTTTGTTAGTGACATAAAAGCAAGGTAAGCATTTCTGCTTTATGAGTCCAAGCACAGGGACACTTGGTTTTCTTTGGAAGGATATCATAAAGGCAATGTTTATGAGTAATCCCTCATTGTCTTTCCTTCTGTAGCATTCAATGGTATGTACTATAATTTAGAAATGAAAACTACTTAAAGACCACTTGCTAAGTTTCATGTATTTCAAATTCTCAGATCCTGAGTGTTTAAATATGCCTATATTTCTTCATGAAAAAAACATAATCTTTGCCAAGTTAGAAAAAGAAAGTCATATTCCCATTTTTAACTCAATGTAATCAGAAATTTGGACAGTTTATAGCCTTCAATACATTATGTAATTTAGGTAACAGGCTGAATAAAAGTAAGGAACCTCAGTTAAATTCAGAGAGAAGCTAGTAATTATTTCTAAGACTCAAATGTATAGAACAGATCTCTGATATTAAGGATAAGACCCTCAAGGTGACCCAAAATGTGTAATTGTGGGATTATTTTGGGAGGAATCACCATAGATTCTTACTGCTATAAATACAGTCAAATGTCAGATAAATATACTCCACTGAAATGTTTTCTAGGAATGATGTTGGAACCAATGTTGGTAACTTTGAAAGTCATGGAGAGGATTTCAGATGATAGAAGTCGGGCAACTATCCCAGGTTTAATAAATAAGCAAATGGTGAGTTCCAAAAATGCTGTATCAATGAGCCTCATATTGATCCTGAGCACAATTTCAGGAAGGTCCATTAAATGGGTCTTTGGAGAGCACTTAGGATAAAAGGCTGGCAGCAGGGATTCACTAAGAGCAATGGTGCCAAGCTTGCCTCTTTGACATTGTTATCTGACTGATAAAGGTAGGCTATAGCGGTACACAATACAGATATTTCCAGGGTAAAGCTGTTGAGCTGCTGTAATTTTCCTTGCCTCTTCACTATCTTCTCCTATAGTTGACTCCCAAGGAAAAGATAGTTGACCTTTAATCTAGAAATGTATGTTAATTGGAAAAACAAACAAATGAAACCAAAAACTATCCTTTAGGCTTCTCTCTGCTCAGTTATTAGATCATATGAATGTGCCCTTAGGAAACACAGAAGGCCCACACTATTATAGAGACAAATTTCTTACATTCTCTGCTGTTTAATGCTCTTCAAAAGACTTACCATACTTCGCTAATTTGATTACCAACTACTTGAACACAGGGACCAATGTGCTTATTAAAAATTTTGCATATTATGAGGGCATTAACTTTTAAGTATTCGATTGTTAAGACAATGCATATTATTATAAACCATAGAAGGCACACTTATTACCTCCTTAAGAACCAGTCTCTATTTCTCTGGTTCATAGAACTCCAAGGTCATAAAGGGATTGGACATTTGTGTCTTCAATTGGCCCTCTTCAGCCCTAGGATAAATAGTGATTAATCTAAGCCAATGGTTTTCGGCTCTGTCTGACCCAATGCCTCTACTTCATAAGAAATTCTTCAAAGACCCCTTCACTATTCTAAACTATTAGTGAGAACACAATGTATGCATTCAAGTTGTTGAAAATATTAATGTTATGCTGAAGCTAACAAAGGAGAAATAATTTACTGTCAATATATGATCCAAAATGTATATAATTGTGCCAGAACATTTACATATCAAATAAAATAGAACATAATGAAATTTTCATATCTTCGCCCATACCTTGAAACATTGTAAATAAAAAGCTACAAATATAGTTTCATTGAATAACCAAATGCCAAAACTGCCATTTCTGTTTTTGACATGATTGATCTGCATTGGTAAATGTAATAGATACTTTCTGTTTGGCCCTTGTCCCCTGTTATACTCCCCTATTTACTGGCTTTTGTCCAAGTGGAATGGTCCATATTGAATATCTCAATCTGTTCCCTTGCTCATTGCCTTCTATGCATGTTCATGAGATTAAAGGGAAGGAGGAAATGGGATTGGGGGTTATTGCCTAAACTCCCTCTCTGCTAGGTCTCCTTGACCAATCTTTTTCATAAGAAAATTAGTGTTTCCTTGCATGATCAGGGAAGTTTACTCCCCAGAACTCTGCCTGCTGCTACTAACCCAGAGTTATTGTGGGGTGTGATTTCTGTGATTCCTTCACCCTTCTCCGCTGACATTTTCGTAAGTAGTCTCTTTGGAAATAAACCCATGTTAAATTATCTTAGTTTGTGTGTGTTCTATTTTTCCTATTGAGACTCTGAAATGAGTATCTAAATGAAAAAATCTACCATCTTTTCTCATATACATAGTAGTTTCATTCTTGCAAAATTCATGGCATATTAAAACCATGCAAAAGTACTTGGCACTTAGGCAGTTACATTTGGGATTGTATAATTAAACAAAGCAGGTTATTCACCTTCATTACATTAGAAAGTCATTCAGGACATACAGCAATCCTTAATTAGGAACGGCTATCCCATGTTACTGGACATATGGCATCCCTGTTTTCCAATCCTTAAAGTTTTTCCTTAAAGTTCCAAAATGCCGTCACTTATTATTTCCTGCCATTGGATTTTGTCACATGAAGTTGTAAGGCTGGGAATGCCATAGCCATCTTGAAAACATAGGTAGAAAGATAAGAGAATCACAAAGTGGATCATGTTGAATTAAGTAAGCATTGATACCATCTATTTGTTGTGCGATTTGGTAAAAGTTGCTCCTTGTTTTTTTCTTTAATTAGTTGACTATTCTGTTACTTGAAGCTGAAAACTTTTTTTCTTTTCTTTCCTTCTTTTTTTTTTTTTTTTTTTGACAGAATCTTACTCAGTTGCCCAGGCTGGAGTGCAGTGGCATGATCTTGGCTCACTGCAACCTCTGCTTGCCTAGTTCAAGCAATTCTCACACCTCAGCCTCCCTAGTAGCTGGGATTACAGGCACATGCCACCACACTCAGATGATTTTTGTATTTTTAGTAGAGATGGGGTTTCACCCTGTTTGCCAGGTTGGTCTCAAACTCCTGACCTCAAGCGATCTGCCCACCTCAGCCTACCAAAGTGCTGGGATTACAGGTGTAAGCCACTGACCCTGCCCAAAAACATTTTAACCAATAGCAAAGCACATTATTTCATTACATTTTTTCAAAAGTTGCCAGTAATTTCAATTAAAAATATATATAACATGTTTAATGCAATACAAATGCTTTTCAATGTACAATGGGGTTAAGTCTTGATAAGCTGATTATAAATTGAAAATACAGTAAGTTAAAAATGTATTTAATACCTAACTTACTGAATATCACAGCTTAGCCTGGCATACCTTTAATGTGCTCAGAACACTTACATCAGCTGACAATTGGGCAAAATCATTGAATACAAAACCCACTTTATAATAAAGTTTTGGATATTTTATGTAATTTGTTGAATATTGTACTGAAAGTGAAAAGCAGAATGGTTATATTCTATTCAAAGCTATCACTTTTGCTTCATCATAAAGTAAATAAATCATAAATTGAACCATTATAATTTGTTGACCATCTGTGTATATGTATGTGTGTGTGTACCTATATAAACATGTATGTTTATATATATATTTGTGTGTGTATATATCCTCGGTGTGTGGGTATGTATGTTTGAGAGTGTGTGTGTGTGTGTGTATGAAATTGTAGGAAAGTAAAATTTCTTATCTTATAGATATAGCATGTTAACATGTTGGTACCTATCTTCCTGAGATGTAAAATTTTACATGGATAGATGTGTACATTTACTGTTGTACACAAAGAGAAACATATTCTGTAGGCTCTTTGTTTTTCTGTAATTTCATTCAACACTATGTGGTTTATATGGATGATTACATATATAATGCTAGGATGAAGGTTCTTCTCTATAACTTTGAAACTTCCTTGATTATCAACCCTTGGTATATTCTTAGAATAGGATTTTATTTTAGAATTAAGATCCTTGTTTCAGGACTCTAGACTGTTAACACACAGAGTCAATAATTATTCAGAATGGTTGGGTTAGTTCACATTCCCACAGATGAGACATCAAATGTCCAGGCTGCACAGCCTCATTAACACTAGATTTTCTGGACATTTTATGTAGTATTTCATCTGATATAAAAAGTAGAATTCTAATTTAATTATGGTTGCTAATTTATTTTTATCTTTTTAGTCATTATGAAAATGTTTAACTATATGAAAAGCTAGGAAAGAGTTTTATTTTTTAAGGTAGTACTTCAGAAATATTTGTGATACTTAATTTTTAAAAATTAACTCTAAAAAATCTTGAAATGTCTGTTTAATGAAATAGGACATAAATGCTGGTCACATTAGTGAAAAATATTTGTTTAAAATTAAAATATCTGTATCAATCCTGTAGATATTAATAATTTTTAAAGAATGACATCTTTAAAATATAAATGTTCTAAACTTATAATCAGTTAAATATGTCTCTATTAATACATATAGATACATATACCTAAATAAATTTGAAGACTTCAAATTCCAGGTACAATATAATTCTTTTCTATCCTGTGATTTGTCATTCAGTATTTTGTAATTTGAACAGAAATATTTTGCCCTAACCACATGTCTGTATTTTCTCTTACCTAGAAATGTTATTTTATGCAAAATTGTTTTAAAGGTCAGTTTGCATGTTTGAAAACATCTTGTAGAATGTTACATAATATATTGCATATTTGGTTACATTGTTTTAACTGTGAAAATATGGTTTAAATCTATGATGCTCTTTAGTGCTGATCATGATGCAAAGCAAATTTATCTGTATAAAAGTCTCCTGTTAATTTTTTTTATTATTATATTTTAAGTTTTAGGGTACATGTGCACAACGTGCAGGTTTGTTAGATATGTATACATGGGCCATGTTGGTGTGCTGTACCCATTAACTCGTCATTTAACATTAGGTATATCTCCTAATGCTATCCTTCCCCCCTTCCCCCACCCCACAACTGTCCCCAGTGTGTGATGTTCCCCTTCCTGCATCCATGTTTTCTCATTGTTCAATTCCCACCTATGAGTGAGAACATGTGGTGTTTGGTTTTTTTCCTTGCAATAGTTTGCTGAGAATGATGGTTTCTAGCTTCATCCATGTCCCTACAAGGGACATGAACTCAACATTTTTTATGGCTGCATGGTATTCCATGTTTTATATGTGCCACGTTTTCTTAATCCAATGTATCATTGTTGGACATTTGTGTTGGCTCCAAGTCTTTGCTATTGTGAATAGTGCCACAATAAACATACATGTGCTTGTGTCTTTATAGCAGCATGATTTTAATCCTTTGGGTATATACCCAGCAATGGGATGGCTGGGTCAAATGGTATTTCTAGTTCTAGATCCCTGAGGAATCACCACACCGAGTTCCACAATGGTTGAACTAGTTTACAGTCCCACCAACAGTGTAAAAGTGTTCCTATTTCTCCACATCCTCTCCAGCACCTGTTGTTTCCTGACTTTTTAATGATGGCCATTCTAACTGGTGTGAGATGGTATCTCATTGTGGTTTTGATATGCATTTCTCTGATGGCCAGTGATGATGAGCATTTTTTCATGTGTCTTTTGGCTGCAAAATGTCTTCTTTTGAGAAGTGTCTGTTCATTTCCTTTGCCCACATTTTGATGGGGTTGTTTGTTTTTTTCTTGTGAATTTGTTTGAGTTCATTGTAGATTCTGGATATTAGCCCTTTGTCAGATAAGGAGGTCGCAAAACTTTTCTCCCATACTGTAGGTGGCCTGTTCACTCTGATGGTGGTTTCTTTTGCTGTGCAGAACCTCCTTAGTTTAATTAGATCCCATTTGTCAATTTTGGCTTTTGTTGCCATTGCTTTTGGTGTTTTAGACATGAAGTCTCTGCCCATGCCTATGTCCTGAATGGTATTGCCTGGTTTTTCTTCTAGGGTTTTTATGGTTTTAGGTCTAACAAGTAAGTCTTTAATCCATCGTGAATTAATTTCTGTATAAGGTGTAAGGAAGGGATCCAGTTTCAGCTTTCTACATATGGCTAGCCAGTTTTCCCAGCACCATTTATTAAATAGGGTATCCTTTCCCTAGTTCTTGTTTTTGTCAGGTTTGTCAAAGATCAGATAGTTGTAGATATGTGGCATTATTTTTGAGGGCTCTGTCCTGTTCCATTCGTCTATATCTCTGTTTTGGTACTAGTACTATGCTGTTTTGGTTACTGTAGCCTTGTAGTATAGTTTGAAGTCAGGTAACATGATGCCTCCACCTTTGTTCTTTTGGCTTAGGATTGACTTGGCAATGTGGGCTCTTTTTGGTTCCATATGAACTTTAAAGTAGTTTTTTTCCAATTCTGTGAAGAAAGTCATTGGTAGCTTGATGGAGATGGAATTGAATCTATAAATTACCTTGGGCAGTATGGCCATTTTCACGATATTGATTCTTCCTACCCATGAGCATGGCATGTTCTTCCATTTGTTTGTATCCTTTTTTATTTCATTAAGCAGTTGTTTGTAGTTCTCCTTGAAGAGATCCTTCACTTCCCTTGTAAGTGGTATTCCTAGGTATTTTATTTTCTTTGAAGCAATTGTGAATGGGAGTTCACTCATGATTTGGCTCCCTGTTTGTCTGTTATTGGTGTATAAGAATGCTTGTGATTTTTGCACATTGATTTTGTATCCTGAGACATTGCTGAAGTTGCTTATTAGCTTAAGGAGATTTTGGGCTGAGACGATGGGGTTTTCCACATACACAGTCATGTCATCTGCAAACAGGGACAATTTGACTTCCTCTTTTCCTAATTGAATGCCCTTTATTTCCTTCTCCTTCCTGATTGCCCTGGCCAGAACTTCCAACACTATGTTGAATAGGAGTGGTGAGAGAGGGCATCCCTATCTTGTGCCAGTTTTCAAAGGGAATGCTTCCAGTTTTTGCCCATTCAGTATGATATTGGCTGTGGGTTTGTCATAGATAGCTCTTATTATTTTGAGATACATCCTATCAATCCCTAATTTATTGAGAGTTTTTAGCATGAAGGTTTGCTGAATTTTGTCAAAGGCCTTTTCTGCATCTATTGAGATAATCATGTGTTTTTTGTCTTTGGTCCTGTTTATACGCTGGATTACATTGACCGATTTTCATATGTTGAACCAGCCTTGCATCCCAGGGATGAAACCCGCTTGATCATGGTGGATAAGCTTTTTTATGTGTTGCTGGATTTGGTTTGCCAGTATTTTATTGAGGATTTTTGCATCAATGTTCATCAAGGATATTGGTTTAAAATTCTCCTTTTTTTGTTTTGTCTCTGCCAGGCTTTGGTATCAGGATGATGCTGGCCTCATAAAATGAGTTAGGGAGGATTCCTTCTTTTTCTATTGATTGGAATAGTTTCAGAA
Source organism: Homo sapiens (assembly GCF_000001405.40). Lineage (NCBI taxonomy): Eukaryota > Metazoa > Chordata > Mammalia > Primates > Hominidae > Homo > Homo sapiens. The sequence goes on from NT_187513.1 coordinate 165,635, forward strand.
GGAATTGTACCAGTTCCTCCTTGTACCACTGGTAGAATTCGGCTTTGAATCCATCTGGTCCTGGACTTTTTTTGGTTGGTAAGCTATTAATTATTGCCTCAATTTCAGAGAGTGTTATTTGTCTATTCAGAGGTTCAACTTCTTCCTGGTTTAGTCTTGGGAGAGTATATGTGTCAAGGAATTTATCCATTTCTTCTAGATTTTCTAGTTTATTTGTGTAGAGGTGTTAATAGTATTCTCTGATTGTAGTTTGTATTTCTGTGGAATTGGTGGTGATATCCCCTTTGTCAATTTTTATTGCATCTATTTGATTCTTCTCTCTTTTCTTCTTTATTGGTCTTGCTAGTGGTCTGTCAATTTTGTTGATCTTTTCAAAAAACAGCTTCTGTATTCATTGATTTTTTGAAGGGTTTTTTGTGTCTCTATTTCCTTCAGTTCTGCTCTGATCTTAGTTACTTCTTGCCTTCTGCTAGCTTTTGAATGTGTTTGCTCTTGCTTCTCTAGTTCTTTTTATTGTGATGTTAAGATGTCAATTTTATTTCTTTCCTGCTTTCTCTTGTGGGCATTTAGTGCTGTAAATTTCCCTCTTCACACTGCTTTGAATGTGTCCCAGAGGTTCCGGTATGTTGTGTCTTTGTTCTTGTTGGTTTCAAAGAACATCTTTATTTCTGCCTTCATTTCCTTATGTACCTAGTAGTCATTCAGGAGCAGGTTGTTCAGTTTCCATGTAGTTGAGTGGTTTCGAGTGAGTTTCTTAATCCTGAGTTGTAGTTTGATTGCACTGTGGTCTGAGAGACAGTTTATTATACTTTCTGTTCTTTTACATTTTCTGAGGAGTGCTTTACTTCCAAGTATGTGGTCAATTTTGGAATAGGTGTGGTGTGGTGCTGAAAAGAATACATATTCCATTGATTTGGGATAGAGAGTTCTGTAGATGTCTATTAGGCCTGCTTGGTGCAGAGCTGAGTTCAATTCCTGTATATCCTTGTTAACTTTCTGTCTCGTTGATCTGTCTAATGTTGACAGTGGGGTGTTAAAGTCTCCCATTATTATTTTGTGGGCGTCTAAGTCACTTTGGAGATCACTAAGGACTTGCTTTATGAATCTGGGTGCTTCTGTATTGTGTGCATATATATTTAGGATAGTTAGTTCTTGTTGAATTGATCCCTTTACCATTATGTAATGGCCTTCTTTGTCTCTTTTGATCTTTGGTGGTTTAAAGTCTGTTTTATCAGAGACTAGGATTGCAACCCCTGCCTTTTTTTGTTTTCCATTTGCTTGGTAGATCTTCCTCCATCCCTTTATTTTGAGCCTATGTGTGTCTCTGCAGGTGAGAAGGGTTTCCTGAATACAGCACACTGATGGGTCTTGACTCTTTATCCAATTTGCCAGTCTGTGCCTTTTAATTGGAGCATTTAACCCATTTACATTTAAGCTTAGTATTGTTATGTGTGAATTTGATCCTGTCATTATGATGTTAGCTGGTTATTTTCCTCGTTAGTTGATGCAGTTTCTTCCTAGCCTTGATGGTCTTTACAATTTGGCATGTTTTTGCAGTGGCTGGTACCAGTTGTTCCTTTCCATGTTTAGTGCTTCCTTCAGGAGCTCTTTTAGGGCAGGCCTGGTGGTGACAAAATCTCTCAGCATTTGCTTGTCTGTGGAGTATATTATTTCTCCTTCACTTATGAAGCCTAGTTTAGCTGAATATGAAATTCTGGGTTGAAAATTCTTTTCTTTAAGAATGTTGAATATTGGCCCCCACTCTCTTCTGGCTTGTAGAGTTTCTGAGGAGAGATCAGCAGATTGTCTGATGGGCTTCCTTTTGTGGGTAACCTGACCTTTCTCTTGGCAGCCTTTAAAATTTTTTCATTCATTTCAACTTTGGTGAATCTGACAATTATGTGTCTTGGAGTTGTTCTTCTCGAGGAGTATCTTTGTGGCATTCTCTGTATTTCCTGAATTTGTATGTTGGCCTGCCTTACTAGATTGGGGAAGTTCTCCTGGATAATATCCTGCAGAGTGTTTTCCAACTTGGTTCCATTCTCCCCGTCACTTTCAGGTACACCAATTAGACATACATTTGGTCTTTTCACATAGTCCCATATTTCTTGGAGGCTTTGTTCATTTCTTCTATTCCTTTTCCTCTAAACTTCTCTTCATGCTTTATTTCATTCATTTCGTTTTCCATCGCTGATACTCTTTCTTCCAGTTGATCACATCGGTTACTGAGGCTTATGCATTTGTCATGTAGTTCTTGTGCCATGGTTTTCAGCTCCATCAGGTCCTTTAAGGACTTCTCTGCATTTGTTATTCTAGTTATCCATTCGTCTAATTTTTTTTCAAAGTTTTTAACTTCTTTGCCACTGGTTCGAACTTCCTCCTTTAGCTCGGAGTACTTTGATCTTCTGAAGCCTTTCTCTCTCAACTCGTCAAAGTCATACTCCGTCCAGCTTTGTTCCATTGCTGGTGAGGAGCTGCATTCCTTTGCAGGAGGAGAGGCACTCTGATTTTTAGAGTTTCCAGGTTTTCTACTCTGTTTTTTCCCATCTTTGTGGTTTTATCTTCCTTTGGTCCTTGATGATGGTGACATACAGATGGGGTTTTGGTGTGGATGTCCTTTCTGTTTGTTAGTTTTCCTTCTAACAGTCAGGGCCCTCAGCTGCAGGTCTGTTGGAGTTTACTGGAGGTCTACTCCAGACACTATTTGCCTGGGTATCAGCAGCGGTGGCTGCAGAACAGTGGATATTGGTGAACTGCAAATGCTGCTGCCTGATCGTTCCTCTGAAAGTTTTGACTCAGAGGGGTACCCGGGCATGTGAGATGTCAGTCTGCCTCTACTGGGGGGTGCCTCCCAGTTAGGCTACTCAGGGGTCAGGAACCCACTTGAGGAGGCTGTCTGCCCGTTCTCAGATCTCAAGCTGCATGCTGGGAGAACCATTACTCTCTTCAAAGCTGTCAGACAGGGATATTTAAGTCTGCAGAGGGTATTGCTGTCTTTTGTTTGTCTGTGTCCTGCCCCCAGAGGTGGAGCCTACAGAGGCAGGCTGGCCTCCTTGAGCTGTGTTAGGCTCCACCCAGTTCGAACTTCCTGGCTGCTTTGTTTACTTACTCAAGCCTGAGCAATGGCGGGCGCCCCTCCCCCAGCCCCACTGTAACCTTGCAGTTTGATCTCAGACTGCTGTGCTAGCAAACAGCGAGGCTCCGTGGGTGTAGGATCCTCCAAGCCAGGTGCTGGATACAATCTCCTGGTGTGCCATTTGATAAGCCTGTTGGAAAAGCGCAGTATTAGGGTGGGAGTGACCTGATTTTCCAGGTGCCATCTGTCACCCCTTTCTTTGACTAGGAAAGGGAATTCTCTGACCCATTCTGCTTCCCAGGTGAGGTGATGCCTTTCCCTGCTTTGGCTCATGCATGGTGCGCTGCACCCACTGTCCAGCACTCCCCAGTGAGATGAACCTGGTACCTCAGTTGGAAATGCAGATATCACCTGTCTTCTGCATCACTCACGCTGGCAGCTGTAGACTGGAGCTGTTCCTATTCGGCCATGTTGCCTCCATCCTCTAATTTTTAACTTTCAACTGATTAGATACATTTACCCTCTTCTGAATTTTAATTCCTGATGAAAAGATTGTGAAATCTCAAGAGGATAATGAATCAGCTTCTGATTATATTCTGGAATTACGATTTGATCACCCATCCAAGAATGCGTATTCACTTTCCTTTACATTACACACATGCATAATACCATGCTGAGTGATGCTGGAAAAAGTGAGTCTTCAGTAATGCCCTCATGAAATTACAGTCTCACTACACCGAGGTATTTTCTTTTTAACACATTTTTCTTTTCTGCTGTGAATATGTGCCTTCTAAGAGGTGAACAACTGGGAAAAACTGAAAAAGAACCTTCATCTAATTCAGTAACTAGCTTTTGTATCTTCTAAGAATTTTTATCTCCAGAAAGCTCTAATCTTCATTCCTTTACAAGCTTTATTTCTCTCTCCTTTCCAACACCAGACTTTTCTCTGTTTGTTTTCTATAACTTTTTTAGAGATGCCTACAATAGAAAAACACTATGACATATTCAATACATCTGAAAAGTTTGCATTGCCATAGATAAGAATAAATTATCTGTTTATAAAGAAAAAAACAATAAAAATATGAACCAAGAAAGCACAGAAGGTAGTAACCACATTTACATGTTTATCATGGAATCATCTTTATAATCCATCTGTTACAATTCCACAGAGCAAATTACAAGTAATTGTGAAGTTTCCCCTCATTTTATAGGTTTGGTCTTATAAGGCATACAACACAAATTTTAATTACTTTTCTTTTTGGTATTTGGATCTTAATTTGGTGAAGTGGCCACTGGGTAGATGATGGAGCCTCTTGAGACATACAGTCTTCTTCTAGCTTTGTTGATGTAAATATTACTGTGTAGTTTTCATTCACTTATTATTTTACAAGGCATGCTTCATTAAAAACATGTCAGCATCTCATTGACAAATCACAAAATTTAAAAGGCACAAGAAAAAAACAATTTATTTGAAACATTCCTGTGTAAAAGTAGTCACCACTCTTACTATTCTTCAAATATTTTTATTATATTTAAACACAAGCCTAGTTTTATCTTGAGTGTCTCACCTTGATGATATTGTACACTTTAAACTTAGAAAAACTTGAACTCTATTGGAAATTTCCTACAGATCAGCTTTTCTAGATGCCAAGCGCCTTGTTTCAGCTGTGGTGATGACAGCAAATTGGGTTCTCAGGGATTCTGGCCTCTGGCATCATCTCAGTTGTTTATAATTGAAGTTGGCTCTGATGAGAACTCAGCTTAGATGCATGGTTGTACTGCTGGGCTTAAGGCTGGCCTGCCAGCAGGTTGCATTGAGGTGTAACTAGGCAAAGAAAGAAGGAGTTTATTGAGGCACTACTGACAATAGCAAAGACTTGGAACCAACCCAAATGTCCAACAATGATAGACTGGATTAAGAAAATGTGGCACATATACACCATGGAATACTATGCAGCCATAAAAATGATGAGTTCATGTCCTTTGTAGGGACAAGGATGAAGCTGGAAACCATCATTCTCAGCAAACTATCACAAGGACAAAAAAACAAACACCACATGTTCTCACTCATAGGTGGGAATTAAACAATGAGTACACATGGACACAGAAAGGGGAACATCACACACCGGGACCTGTTGTGGGGTGACGGGCTAGGGGAGGAAAAGCATTAGGGGATATACCTAATGTAAATGACGAGTTAATGGGTGCAACACACCAACATGTCACATGTATACATATGTAATGAACCTGCACGTTGTGCACATGTACCCTAGAACTTAAAGTAGAATAAAAAGAAAAGAAGAAGGTTGGGCAAAATTACCAACAATCTTCAACTATGAATTTTTATGAGTAGGGGCTTCCCACACCATCAGGCACTCCAAGTTGGAGAAACAAGGGATGTTGAATTGAAAGTTTAATTTTTTAGGCTTGATAGTCAGATTAGGGAAGTTTTGGGTACACCTTTCCCACTCTAGAGCCCTCTCCCTAACTCACGGCCAATTTGGGACATGGGCTCAATGGAAAAGAGTGCCGAGATCAATTAGAAATATCCTTCATGAACATAGGAGGCAGGCATTCTGGCCAAGGGGTGCGTCTTCCCACTTTGTAATCCAGAGTGCGATTTCTTCTTGCTATCTGTCCCTCCGTAAATAAGCGTTGGGTGAAGGACAAGGTAGTTACAACTGAGGATGGAATGAGATTCTAGCAGAATTGCAAAATGAACTGAGAGCCACGAAAGTGTTCCTCTGTGAACCAGCAGAGAGATCTGTGGAAGGCAAAGGAAGAGGAGCCAAGAGGCCAGATAACATTCCTGCTTCCCCTACATTGTGAGAGTGAAATTATCAGCAACGTATATCAGTAACTAACCAGAGGCTTTTTGGAGAGTAAGACTTCTGATAGATACCTCAATAGCTGAAGTTGCTCTTCAGTACTGCACATAACCTGTGGACAGATTTTCATCATTATTAATTCATTTATTCAACAGATAGATATTAAATTCAAGGCATAGTTCTAAACTATGCAGTCAATTACAAAAAAATAATGAAGGGCATTAGCTGTGCCTCATAGGACGTTAAAACTCTAGGTGCTGAATGAGACAAATAGGGTTCCCACATCAAGTGCCTGGGCTCCTGTTATAACCTGGACTGTGCTTCCAATGACTTCTCTTGTTTCTGTTTTGGTAAACCCATCATTTGGCTTAGTCCCTATCCTTGCCATGCTCACCCACCAGTAGGTGGACCTCCTTGACCATAACTACAGGTATAGATCTTTGAGTTTCTTTTCAAATGTTTGCTTACTTTAGAGCTGCAGTCAAATGTTGTTTGGACCATAAGACTCTGAGGATGTGTGTGGTTGAAACTGTCTTGAGACTCAAAGAGCTATTGAGGAAGGGATTTGGTAGCTGAACTTTTTTGAAGTTTTTCTCTGTCTCTCACAATCTGGGTCTGAATAGCTTAATATATTGTTTAATTTCTACATCAATGATAGTTTAATAGGCATTCATGAAAATCAGTTCTGCTGGGAGTTTATTATCCTACTCCAATAGCAAGTAACGCATTCCTTAAATTTAATGTATGTATAAATTCTACATGGTAAGTGAAGCTGTCTTTATGAATTGCTGCTATAGAATATACTAGATTGTGTAGGTTTTAGTACAATCCAGGTAATTATCAAGCCTTTGTAATATTTTCAGGAAAGTGATCCTTTCACTTCAGTTTATGGAACTTGGAAAGTTTTCGGTTGCCACCCACTTGTTAGATCATAAACTTAATTATATTTGTCTGAATTTATTTTTCTATTTATAAATTTATCTGGATGTTTTCTCAAAGGTTTCCCAGATTAAAAACCTATGGCTTTGTAAAATTAAAACAGAAGTAATAAGAATTGTGTTAAAAAACAGAATCAGGCCAAGCATGGTGGCTTATGCCTGTAATGCCAACACTTAGGGAGGCCGAGGCGGGAGGATCATTTGAGGTCAGGAGTTCAAGACCAGCCTGGGCAACATGGCAAAACGCCACCTGTATTAAAAAAAATACACAAATTAGCTGGCGTGGTGGTGAATGCCTTTATTCCTAGCTACTCAGGAGGCTAAGGCAGGAGAATAGCTTGAACCCAGGAGGCTGAGGTTGCAGTGAGTCAAGATAGAGCCACTGCATTCCAGCCTGGGTGAGAGAGTGAGATCCTGTATTAAAAAAAAAAAGAACAAAAGAAAAGAAAAATAAAGAAAACTAGAATCATACAATGAGAGAGATTGTATAGCCCTTTTAATTGTCCATAATGGATACATTTCTTTTTCTGTGTAATAGTTTATCAGCATGAAAATTTTCTTTTTCTTCGTAATAGTTTATCAGCATGAAAAACAAAGAGTCACTGAACACTGATAATTTTTTTTCTCTCTCTCTCTCATTTTTTCCTTTTTTTGGAGATGAAGTCTCACTCTGTTGCCCAGGCTGGAGTGCAATGGCAACATCTCTGTTCACTGCAACCTTCACATCCTGGGTTCAGGCGATTTTCCTGCCTCAGCCTCCCAAGTAGCTGGGATTCCAGGTGCATCCCGCCATGCCTGGATAAGTTTTTGTATTTTCAGTAGAGACGGGGTTTCATCATGTTGGCCAGGCTGGTCTCAAACTCCTGACCTCAAATGATCTGCCCGCCTTAGCCTCCCAAATTGCTGGTGATGATTTTCATTTAATGGTGTTCTACAAAGTGAGTTTAGGCAATGAAAGCACACATGTCATCTATAGTTTACCAGAAAGTAGTACCGGTCACCAGCATTGAAGCATACTCCTAACACTGGAAAATTTCTTCAGCAGCTAGAATTAATCTCAGATTTCGAGACTGGAGCAAAGACAAATTTGGTATGTGTTCATTCAGATTAGTAAATCTCCATGGTGTTTGAACTGTATATTATCAAATCTAAAATAAGTCAAAAGAGTTGAACAATATCTCATCTCTGAGAAAAAAATGCATTATTTTCAACAGATTTAAGACTGAATTTAAAATCCAACTGCCTATTCCAGTGTATGTTTCTCTAGAATAAGGCCAAGCCCTACAAATTCTGGATAGTGTCTTCCAAGTTGTATTTAAGTGATAATTGATAAATCTATGGTTTAGATACATATGGAATTCCATATAACTCTAGCTCCAGCCTTTGTGAGTAAAAATTGGCAGTGATCATGGCCTTAATGGGGGCATGTGGTTAATTGGAATTTTCAGTACCAAAAGTCGTCTTCTTACTAGTTTATCAGGGTAACCTATAATAGTATCCATAACTCATTGCCCACTTGTCTGTTTTGATTTCTTTTTTAAAAAGACAATTTTAAACTTAGAGGATTTGTACCTCAAGTCACATATGTGGCACATTTATAAAATAATCATGCCTTTGCATATTTTTCCTTTGATAACTTAGCTATATATCCAAGCCATTTATGTTTTTTAATTGCCACAAATATTGCACTGAAATAGAGCACTAGTTGCAAAAATGCCTGGTGTAACATTTCTTCTTGTTCTTGAAAGTTATTTTAATACCCCATGTTTAAGATATTCCTAGACAACTATATGTAACTATAATTATTTCTGCTAGGTAGAAACATCTTTGTGGTCAACATTTGTGAAGTGCCTTGTAAATAAAAATATGCTTGAGTTGAAATAGTATTTTGCAAATATAGCCCTAAATAGAGCTACTGATTTTTACCAAGAATTAAAGACTCCAAACTCTGTCTTTGTCTTTCAAATTAGGTTTATAGGAACATCTCATTACAATGAGCCAAAAGCCTATCTGATCATTAATGAGATAATTTTGACACTTCCAAATGACACAGTTAATTTGTAGTAGGTTTTTGAAGTGCAAATTGCATGTTTCTGTTTAAATAATGACAGTAAAATATGGACACTATCTATTCACACTCTATATACACAACTACAACTTGTCTCTAGAAGAAAAGTTTAATTTTTCAGGTCTCATCCACAAAATGAAGTGTTAATAAGCTGTATCTTTATTCTCATTTTTAAGTAATTTCTTCTTAACCATTGTATAACACTACCACAGTTTGTATGGAGATAAAATAACTCATGGTGAGAAATCCAGTTCTTTAAAAATCATTTTACCTTCAATCAATTTTAGGATATCTATGGTTTTAGAGTAAGGACGAAAATTTATAAACATTTGTTAAATTATGCAACTGTTTTTGAAGATGTTTCAAAATTACATTTTCCTTATTTTACAACTAGTTTTCATGTATTCACAAATGAGACACATGAGAATTATTAATGCAAAAGCACAGCATATCAACAAAGTTTATAATGTAAATAGTTTAGTTAGGAAAGAATGTAATGAGTGAATTATCAAAGCTATTTTATTGGTTCCTAGATTTACCATAGAAGAAAATAAAGCAGCCTTATAAAATTTTCTCAACACTGAGTCCATTTAAGGTCTATTTTGTATGCCGTAAGTTCTAAAAAATGTTATTGCCGGTAAAAATAGGATGCCTATCTAAAATTGTCTTTTTAAATGTTCTCTCTTATTCTTCTTCCTTTCCTATGTGTGCACAGAATACTGTCATCGTCTTGATTGGAACACTGTCTCTCTTTCTCAGAGGGTATACATTTGTAGAAGGGAGAAAATATTTGTTAATTTTGCTTCCTATAAGATAAGGTCTCAATGGTTGAAGGTCAGTTAACAAACATTTTTTTTGTCTTCATACTATTATCTTGGAATTACCAACTGGCTTCTATTTAGATTTTGAATTATGAAAGAAAAGAACTAGCATTTGTTAGAACTTACTGTGTTCCAGGAACTTTATTGATACCATTTCTTCTCATTACCACATTTGTTCTTTCAATTAGTCTTATTTTTTTCCATCTTAATAAGGTGGGACCAGAGGTTTGTAATATCCACTAACCCACTGTGGATTTCATGGCTTGCAAGAGGAAGAAAGCATGGTGGAACTCAGGTTTCTCTGATTGCAAATTCACATCCTTTCATGTCTCCATGAAAAATAGAAAGGATAAATTGGGCTCTATTCTAACAAGAGAAACACAATTTTCCGACAGTTAAATGAATAATTCTTAAACCTCAAAAATAAAACGTAGCAAAACCTCAATTCAAGAGTAGACATAAAGGTTGTGGCATGGGTAGAAGGGACTTATGTCTAGTGACATAGATTTGCTATGCATATCTGACCAAAAATCTCCCTCATGATTTTCAAATCAGATGTATAACTGCATTTAATGAGTTTCACGAATCATTAATATCAGGCTCTGAAAACAGGATCATTAAAAATGATTAAGATTTTCAACAACAAAGATTTTATCTAAATAGTAAGGAAATTATATTAGATGGCTCCATTCCCTGGGCAGTCTAGTTAATAATTCAACTTGTTCAAAGCTATAAAATATGGCAACTTAAAAAATTATGAAAGTTTTTCTAACTTATTCTTAAGGTAGTTGGCCATTCTTCCTCTTGGGAATAAGAAGGGCAGATTTTCTGTCGAAGCATTTTGCTATTGCTTTTCAATTTCCATTTATGGAAAATAGATAAAATATCAATTTTTTAGTTTTAAATTTAAAGTCAAAATGGAGATAATTAAGTATCTCAATTAACTAAATATTAATTTTTCAAAAAATAGCATTTACTAAATTCTAATCAATCAATTGACTATTTTTATCCCTGGCTCAATGTAACTCTCTTTGACATACTCTTGTCTTAATTCTAGTTTATGTCAACAATGTGTAATCATAGATGACTCTTTGCCATTTTGGTCTCTCAGTTCTATTAACACCTTTGATCTAACGATAATGTTTTCCAACAGAATTATTTCTACTCAAACTTCTGAGATGAAATTTGTTGGTTTAGTCTCACCCCAATCAATTTTTCAACTCTCAGGACACCAAATGGTGTCCTACAATTCAATTCAATCCTGAGACTATCTATCTGGAGATAGAATCAGATCCCACAAGTTCAGGGTTCAGGACCACAAGACTGCCACCCCCCCACCATTAGAGAGGAGTTGTGGGCCTGCCATACTCCTGACCAACTGGCTATAAATTAGGACTTCCATGGATTCCTTCCCCAGGTTCTATAATTTGCTAAGATGGCTCACAGAACCCAAGAAAGCACTTTGCTTACAGTTACTGTCTGATACAAATCAGGAACTGTCAAATAGAAGAGACACATAGGGCCAGGTATGGTGAAAAGGGGCACAAAGCTACCATATGACCTCTAAGTATATCATTGTATCACCCTCCCAGCACCTCAGAGGTGATGGAGGAGAGGGCTGACAGTTTTAACCATCTAGTTATGCCTTCATGTTTCTGGTGTCAAGCACCCACCCTGAAGCCATACGGGTCTCCAGCCACCACTCATGTCATGTCAATAGCATAAACTCAGGTATGGCTAAGAGGGACTTATGACTAGTAAAGGATGGTCCTCTCATCTCTATCAGGAAATTTCAAGTTTCAGGAGCTCTGTACTGTGAACCGGGGAGGAAGACCAAATAAGACATACACTAGACCAGTTGTGCTAACTACTGTGTGCCTCAAAATTGCCTACAGTTGTGTTACAATAAGAGATTGCTGAGACCTGCTATTGGAATTTCATATTTGGAAGATCTGGGGGTGTAACCTGAGAATATGCAGTTCTAGTAAGTTCCCAGGTGATGCTGTTGCTGCTAGCACAGGGACCACACTTCCAGAGGGACTGAGTGAAGCATCGTCGTTACTTATAATAGCAACTCCTCTGTAGTCACAATTTCATTCATCCCATTCTCTGAACTCCTCCTTTAATCATTCCCTTTCATACGCTGACATAAAATTTTTCAATCTCTCTGAGACCTCCAAACTATTATTTTATCATATTTATAATGACCCTTACCTACTGATGTACTCTATTTCCTGTTCTCCTGCCTAAATTCCGTGGCCAACCATTCCCAGGAAACTTCAACTTCCTTGTTTCTCTTTCACTTTGCTGAATCTAACCAGGAAAATAACCCTGGTTAGATCCAAATTTCCACCAAATCCCCACATATATTTTAGCAACTAGCTATATGGATCAAATTGAAAAATATCCCACTTGAAACTGAGAATCTGAGTGCCGCCTATCAATCAATCATACTACATATGTTCCAATCTATTCACTCTCTAATTTTCCTAGTTTTGTATCTTATCCTGTCTCTAATCCCTAACACTTCCCCAGAAATCCTCAATGTCTTTTTGGGTGTGCTTCCCTGAGAACATTGAATCACCCAAAGACAATTTCCACAGACTCCTGAAACCATTTAAACTCACTTTTCCATGCCTACACCCACATACTCTCCATTTTCACCTATTATTATCTGTGAAATAACTGGCCCCTATCTGTATATTGTCTGATGATGATTTCTATATTACAGGTGAAGAAAATGAGAATAGGGTTAGAGCTACTTTCTCATTATAGCATAGCTTAGAATCAAATCCACGCAGTCCACCACTGAAACTGGGGTTCCAAGTCAGTGTATTTGGAGAAGGAGAGCTAGTAGAAAAACAAGGATGAAAACATCAGGATGAAGTTTCTGATGGAAGAAAAGGACATTTTTACTATTATGAACTCCTTGAAGTAGACCTTAAGCATTCTCTTCTAGACAAACATCCATTCATCCACTCCAGTGAGCTGATTAAGTTTTAGGATTTTAAGGGTCAGTGAACAATTATTACTCATTCAGCAATTAAAGAAGGATTAACATGAATATTATATTGGAGAAGTTTCATTTAAAACATATTTGATTGATTTTTGGCAATTGTCTTCTATCAGATCATTACCAATCCATATGAGTTGGTAGGAAGGGAGAAAACCCAAAACTTAACCAGATGCCTGAAGTTAGGGAATATTTTATAACCAACCCAGGGGGAAAAATGCTCAAAAGGGGAAAGATGAGGACAGAAAACACATTTCAAAGATTTTAACTTTTTGACAAAATGTCAATTCTGTGCAAGAAAAACTGATTGTGTGAATATAACTTTGTCATTTACATCTGCCAATGTGTTCAGAAATATTTAATTTATAAGTTTTATTAATAGTAGTTTGTTAACACAAAATTTATTCATCAAAGTATCTAAAACATTCTAAAAATACTAAAAATTTTCAATTTAAAGATTAAGCTAAACAGCTCTGTATATATAAGTAAGCTCAAACAAACGTGCATGCTCCCCAACAATAACACTGCTACAGATATTGACTGGTGGTTTTGGTTTCATTTCATTTTATAATGGCAAATCTGGTTAAGACCCAGATTCTGGGCTGGGCGCAGTGGCTCACGTCTGTGATCCCAGCACTTTGGGAGGCTGAGGCAGGCAAATCACAAGGTCAACAGATCCGGACCATCCTGGCCAACATGGTGAAACCCCATCTCTACTAAAAAAACATACAAAAATTAGCTGGGTATGGTGGCACGTGCCTGTAGTTCCAGCTACTTGGGAGGCTGAGGCAGGAGAATCGCTTGGACCTGGGAGGCAGAGATTGCAGTGAGCAGAGACTGTGCCACTGTACTCCAGCCTGGTGACAGAGAGAGACTACATCTCAAAACAAAACAAAATCCCAGATTCTGAATTGAATCTCACAATAAGGATCTCAATTGACTCAAAGAAAATAAAATACCTAGAAATCCAACTTACAAGGGATGTGAAGGACCTCTTCAAGGAGAACTACAAACCACTGCTCAATGAAATAAAAGAAGATACAAACAAATGTAAGAACCTTCCATGCTCATGGGTAGGAAGAATCAATATTGTAAAAATGGCCATACTGACCAAGGTAATTTATAGATTGAATGCCATCCCCATCAAGCTACCAATGACTTTCTTCACAGAATTGGAAAAAACTACTTTAAAGTTCATATGGAACCAAAAAAGAGCCTGCATTGCCAAGTCAATCCTAAGCCAAAAGAACAAAGCTGGAGGTACGACGCTACCTGACTTCAAACTATACTACAAGGCTACAGTGACCAAAAGAGCATGGTACTTATACCAAAAGAGAGATAGAGGCCAATGGAATGGAACAGAGGCCTCAGAAATAATGCCGCATATCTACAACTATCTGATCTTTGAGAAACCTGACAAAAACAAGAACTAGGGAAAGGATTCCCTATTTAATAAATGGTGCTGGGAAAACTGGCAAGCCATATGTAGAAAGCTGAAACTGGATCCCTTCCTTACACCTTATACAAAAATTAATTCAAGATGGATTAAAGACTTACATGTTAGACCTAAAATCATAAAAACCATAGAAAAAAACTAGGCAATACCATTCAGGGCATAGGCATGGGCAAGGACTTCATGTCTAAAACACCAAGAGCAATGGCAACAAAAGCCAAAATTGACAAATGGGATCTAATTAAACTAAAGAGCTTCTGCACAGCAAAAGAAACCACCATCAGAGTGAACAGGCAACATACAGAATGGGAGAAAAGTTTCACAACCTACTCATCTGACAAAGGGCTAATATCCAGAATCTACAATGAACTCAAACAAATTTACAAGAAAAAAACAACCCCATCAAAAAGTGGGCGAAGGATATGAACAGACACTTCTAAAAAGAAGACATTTATGCAGCCAAAAAACACATGAAAAAATGCTATCACTGCCCATCAGAGAAAAGCAAATCAAAACCACAATGAGATACCATCTCACACCAGTTAGAATGGCAATCATTAAAAAGTCAGGAAACAACAGGTGCTGGAGAGGATGTGGAGAAATAGGAAAACTTTTACACTGTTGATGGGACTGTGAACTATTTCAACCATTGTGGAAGTCGGTGTGGTGATTCCTCAGGGATCTAGAACTAGAAATACCATTTGACCCAGCCATCCCATTACTGGGTATGTACCCAAAGGATTATAAGTCATGCTGCTCTAAAGACACATGCACACGTATGTTATTGTGGCACTATTCACAATAGCAAAGACTTGGAACCAACCCAAATGTCCAACGATGATAGACTGGATTAAGAAAATGTGGCACATATACACCATGCAATACTATGAAGCCATAAAAATGATGAGTTTATGTCCTTTGTAGGGACATGGATGAAGCTGGAAACCATCATTCTCAGTAAACTATCGCAAAGATGAAAAGCCAAACACCGCATGTTCTCACTCATAGGTGGGAATTGAACAATGAGAACACATGGACACAGGAAGGGGAACATCACACACTGGGAACTGTTGTGGGGTGGGGGGAGGGGGGAGGGATAGCATTAGGAGATACACCTAATGTAAATGACGAGTTAATGGGTGCAGCACACCAACATGGCACATGTATACATATGTAACGAACCTGCACGTTGTGCATATGTACCCTAAAACTTAAAGTATAATAATAATAATTTAAAAAAGAAATGAAAACACACACACAAAAAAAAAACAAACACACACACAAAAAAAAGAAAAAAATAAGGTTCTCAAAGAGGTCATTATGTATATAATCTATTCTTAAAAAAATTTTCTCCAATTGTTTATTGAAATATCACACAGGCTCTGACTTTGTTTATACCCTTAAGAAGTACGTAGATTTATGTGTAGCTTTTGTAAAGTGAAAACTCAGAATGTCTACTCTGTTCTGGTACCACTTTAGTTTAATTGTTGGAAAATATTTAATAAAAATGAATTACTCAACAAATGGAAAATTTGAACTTTGCATACTAAATTTTTACTTCATATTATCAACTCTTGAAAAATAAGTGTGTCTATTAGAAATGACACTCATTTGACTATACCATAATGTATTTCAGACTTTTTGTCTTCAGCTACAGAATTTCTCTGTCTTTTGAATTATGTTAGCGGGCTTTATTTGGCCAGTATTTGTGATCCACCTCCACTAATTCGCAACTCTATTATCTTACCCCCAGGGATGCATTTCCATAGTTCTGCCTTGTTATGAGTGTCATTTTTTTCTTCTGTTTTGTTGACTGCCATTCAAGTAGTTTTGGCTTTATCAGAGATTTTCACTTTATTGTTTATCACCTCCTCATTTTTTTTAGCTTCTCATAATTTACTGTATTATATCTACCTGGGCTTTTGGTTCCTTTACAGGTTTGTTTCATTTTATTTTTAGCTTATGATACTTCTAAAGTCTGTACCCTTTTAATTTTCACTTGCTTCATCGTCACATTCTTGTGTTTTGTTTTTATTTCAAAATACCAGAAAGTAGGATGTCTCAGCATCTTGGTGAGTGGAATAGTTTATTTATAATCCAAAAAACCCCCATACTTTTTGTGAGCTATCTGCTTCTGAGTAAAAATTTTATATAAAAATTCTTGAAAAAAAATCTTAAACTTCTGAAGGATTGAATGAGATTTTAAAAATCATTCTATACAACAGGTGCAAAATTTTTATTCCTCTACTCAAGAGAAATAATGAACATTTGTTATTCATTTACTAACATCTAAATGTTAATGTATTCAATTATACATTATTAAAACACGATTAAGCTTAAGAGGTGGAAAAGTATAAAACAAACAAGTGTATAATTTACCTTTATTAATATGAAACATCTTTTTCTCTCCTGAAAATAAAGATTAACCAGTGGTGTGCTGAGGCGGGAGGTGGTGTGTTGGAGGGAGAAAAGCCATGATTTGCCAATTTCAGCACAAAACTGAAAATGGTTATTAATCTTTACTAGCCCCAGATATCTTTTAACATATATTGAAATCTATGACCCTTAAAAAGAAAACATATATATAGATTTTGACAAAACTTTGCAGTTCCACTCATGGATCCCTGTGTAAGAATCGTTTTTCTATGTGTGTTTGCAATTTAAAGAGTTCAGACTTTATGATTCACAGGTGACAACTCATGATTTAATCTGAACACTTAGGCTTTTATAATTTGGGAGTCAGGTGTTTAACTGCTGTAGTAGTGACTGCTTCTTCTCAGAGAAACTTAGTAGCTAAGACCAGGAAAATGTCCCTTGGTGTGCAACACACCTCTTCTTTCTGAACGTACCATATAAGACGCTAACTTTGTCTCAAAGTTTATATGACTTTTGCATTTGCATTACTAGCTATTTTCTTTTGGAACTGTAGGACTTGGAGACCTTTCCCTCTACCCTCTGAAGGTATGATAACTGAGTCTATTGAATAAATGGATAACAGGCATGTCAAAAGAAGAAAATGTGTACACATTTATTACACGCATGGGGGAATCACAGGAAAGAAACGTGGAATCAAAAACAAAACAAAACAAAACAAACAAAACACCACCAAGAAAAAAACCCAGTGAGATTTAGGAGCTTGTAGGGAAGGCAGGAGGAAGAATGTAGGAAACTTAAGGGAGAGCAAATGACTTTTGGGAAAGATGACCAGACCCCTAGGAGCATAGATGATAGTTTGTGGCAGTCTGCCTTGGTGTGGAATGGACTCTTAGTCTTGTCTCCTGTGATATGAGGAGTCAATTTTCCCTGGCTGATGAAACTCCTAGGAAGGAGATGAATGTCTTTGTGCTGACAAGACAGTATCTTGAAGCTTTGTTTTCCAATTCAGTTCTAAATCTGCAGTGTATAAAAATCTCCTCATCATGCTTTGGATGTTATGGTAGATAAATGGTATCTTTACAAAGATACATTCATTCTGGTATTGAAAATTCCTTTTGGAGGATCTCTCTTGAGGAACGTAAAGGGAGTGCAGAGAAAGCATGTCCCACAGTTGTTATTTTTCAAATATTTTCAGTTCAATGTAATCAGTACACCAAAGCAATACATTTAGGACTGGCATTTCCTGAACACCTTCAGAACTCTTTTTATCCCATGTTATTTCTATGAGATCACGTGATTTAAGAACAACTTTTACTTGCCACTTACATATATATTGAAAAGGCAAACTTTCCTTTCATAGTTTGCTAATTTTGGCAAAGTACTTTAACAAAAGTTAAATTAAGTGAGTAAGTGAAATTTTCTGTTCTATTGTTTTGAAAAGAATTCTAGAAACTGTCCTTGTAAGAACAGCAAAAAGAGAAAAAGATAATTCTCAACTGCAGCTTCAACCACTCTTTGCGTAACAATGTATCTAATTAAAAGGCAAAACTCTCTATTTCAGGTTTATATGTATCAATTGCTTGATTAGAAAGTAAATTATTTACCCCATATAATCTGGTGTCAAAAAACTTATAACAAAATTACTTTGATTTTATTGCTTATAAGTTTGTGAATTTAAATCTCAACTGACAGTGATGAATTTATTTGCTTTGTGCTGACAAGACAGTATGTTGAAGTTTTGTTTTCCAACTCAGTTCTAAATCTGCAGTGTATCAAAATCTCCTCATTATGCTTTGGATGTTATGGTACATAAATGGTATCTTCACAAAGATATATTCATTCTGGTACTGAAAGTGCATACTTAAAATTCTTCATGAACAGTTTTATTGAAAAAATATGTAGACAAGCCATTAATTATACACAGTGATCTGGAACAAATTCTTACAAGAAGCCTAGCATGTCTTCCATTAACTGTATACAATTTATAAAAAGTTATTGAAAGTCTTCCTGAGGTTAAACAATAAATCTTTTAAATTTAATCACTGTGCTCCCTCAAAGGTAGTTTTTTCTTTATGACACTCAGGGGATACAGTCAGATCTCAGCCTACTTTAAACAACTAGGCAGTATTTTTAGTGCACTTTTCTGTTTGTTAAAAAGCTAGTTGTCAAAAATAAGTTGCTCAATTGTCTTCCTCAATTACTTTTTATTTTGTTTTGTAATTATTATTCTATTTTGGTTTTCCTTTAGAATTGTGGACTATCTTGAATCAGAAATTGCAGAGAATATATAAATAAGTAAGAATGCACTCTTCAATCAAACTAGATCTCGAAAGTGTTTTGTTGTAGTTTATACCTTGAATTCGAAGGCCATTCTATACAAGACACTTGAAAAATTTTCAAGCTCTTATATTTCATAATAGTACAGAATTTATTGTTCTTTTATTTGCAAGGAGATAGACCAGATAAAATATCACTTTATTTTTTACAGTGTTGACTTTGATATTCTAAACTTGTCAGTTTATACAGATTAATGAAGACTCCATACATGTAAAATTCACTATAATTTTTTTCTAGTATGACAGTCCAAACAAATAGTAACTACATACCCAAACAGGTAAAGTAAAAATATACAATAGCTTGACAAAAAAAAAAAGAAGAAAAAAGATACCCCTATACATTCCTTAACATTCTAAAACTATGAGGACCAAATTGGATTCAAAAGAAACATTTCTGGTGGGCAGGGAAAGGGCTAAAAAGCTAAAGTATATAATAAGTAAATTCCTCATTGCTGTAACATATATGACCAGCATGACATTTCAATACATGTTCAAGTTTTCTGAAAAAACTTCTAGGATAATAGGATTTCAACTTTTGATTCTACAGATATCATTCTTGTGATTGGTATGGTAGAATCATCCTCTTCATGTATTAGAGGATTCAAATGAAAAAAAATCAGGCAGCTAATTCCTTTCCAGGAAGCCTTAGAGATTGTTGTACATAAAAATATGAACCATATTTCTGATTCAAATTTTAATTAGAGAATTCTCTTTATTCCCTCTTCTGCATAAAATTATGCACTTGCTCTCTGCTCTCCAGACAAGTAAAACTTCTTACCTGATATAATTTGAGATAATCAAGACTCAGAACATATTATCTCCTAGCTGAAAGTCCCAATAAACTTCTCAGGACAAAAACAGCAAAAAGGTAAATATGCAGAGATAGAGTATAAAACAGTGGTTACTAGGGGCTGGGGGTGAGAAGAGAAAATGGAGATAGAGAATTCGAAGGATGCAAAGTTGCAGATATGTAGAATTAACAAATTGAGGGCTCTAATGTACAACATGAGGACTGTAGGTATTAATATTTATTGTATATGGCATTTAACTAAAAGGGTAGTTTGTAGGTACTCTTTCCTCACACACATATCCAAAAGAAAGGTAACTGAGATTTTCAAAGGGAATGCTTTCAGGTTTTGCCCATTCAGTATGATATTGGCTGCGGGTTTGTCATAAATAGCTCTTAATATTTTGAGATACGTCCCATCAATATCTAATTTATTGAGAGTTTTTAGCATGAAGGTTGTTGAATTTTGTCAAAGGGCTTTTCTGCATCTATTGAGATAATCGTGGTTTTTGACGTTGGTTCTGTTTATATGATGGATTACGTTTACTGATTTGCGTATGTTGTACCAGCCTTGCATCCCAGGGATGAAACCCATTTGATCATGGTGGATAAGCTTTTTGATTTGCTGCTGGATTCGGCTTGCTAGTATTTTATTGAGGATTTTTGCACTCCACTCCACTCCATTCTATTCCATTCCATTCCATTCCATCTCATTTCATTCCATTCCCTTCCACTCTACTCCACTCCATTCCACTCTACTCCAGTCCACTACACTCCATTCCATTTCATTCCAATCCATTCTATTACATTATTTTATTTCTTCAGGAACTCACTCTGTCATCCAGGCTGTAGTGAAGTGGCACAATCTCAGCCCACATTTCATTTCACCGTGCCATTCCATTCCATTCCATTCCATTCCATTCCATTCCACTCCACTCCACTCCACTCCACACCACTCCACTCCGCTCCACTCCACTTTACTCCACTCCACTGCATTCCTTTCCATTACATCCCATTCCATTCCTCTTTATTCCACTCTACTCCACTACACTCCACTCCACTCTACCCCACTCCATTCCATTCCACTCTAATCCGTTCCATTCCTTTCTTTCGATAGAATCTCACTTGTCACCCAGGATGGAGTGCAGTGGCACAATCTCAGCTCACATTTCATTTCACCATTCTATTCCCTTCTATTCCATTCCATTCCATTCCATTCCACTACACTCCTCTCCACTCCATTCCATTCTATTTCAATCCACTCAACTCCACTCCACTCCATTCCATCACATCCCATTGCATTCCACTCCATTCCACTCCACTCCACTCCACTCCATTCCATTCCACTCCATCCCATCCCATTCCATTACATTACATTCCACTCCACTCCACTCCACTCCACTGAATTC